>NC_000006.12:100525335-100676850 GCF_000001405.40 Homo sapiens
CATTAATTTATAAAAACCAAGTTGTTATTTATAAAGTATCACAAGAATGCAAAACACTATGGAAAGATCATCAAAAACAGGAAAGTTTGAGAAACTTTCAGAGCCAAGAGGAGCCGGAGAAATGACTACTGAATTTAAAGGGATATCTACAATGAGACTCCAGAATAGAAAACGGCATTAGGGATCATCACACATTGTATACCTGTATCAAAATGTTATATGTACCCTCAACATAGGTACAAGTATTATATATCAAGAAAAAAATTTTAAAAAGAAAAAGGATATTAGGTGAAAAAGAATTGTGAATAAGTATAGACTTTAGTTAATAATTATTTGCCAAAATTGGCTTATTAATTGTAGCAAATGTACCTTACTAATATATTTAAGACGTCAATATTAGAAGAAAAATAGGTTCTAGGTATATGGGAACTTTGTACTATCTTTGCAACTTTTCTGGAAATGTAAAACTATTCTCAAGCAAAAAGTTTATTTAAAAAAATTACGGAAATTGATCCTAGGCAGCTTGTTAAAACATTAGTTGTTAGACATCTGCTAGAAAATGCACTATTTAGTTCAAGAGCTCCCAGAAGTTTTACAATGATGGGAAAACCTGAAAAAGCTTTCTTGACAGAAAAGCCACTCCTTTAAAGGTTCAGGTCACTTGCAAGTAATGATACAATATTTTGTCAATAATTAAAATGCTATAAGTACATTTATAAGAATCTTTTTCAATAGCAACAGTTGTTCATAGTAACTTTCTCCTGAACTTTTACCCCCAGAAGGTTAGCATTCAGGAAGCTCAGCTGCTGTCTAACAAACTTAATTAATCAAAAAGTCATTTCCGAGCTGTAACTATGAGTAAAAGCGCTTCAAGTGTGCTAGCAAGCCTACAAGTTAATCAAAATGCTAATGCAGTACAAATTAAAGTTGTGATTAACATTTCACAGTAGCTGCTTAAGTGAATTGATCACACAAATGGGTTAAGCATTACTCATTTCCTACAGCCCCAACCGGGAAAAGGGTTGTTATGTGGGTATAAGGAGAGGAGCAGGGGGTAGAAGGATCCTTCATAATAGCATCATATCATCAACAAACCACCACCAAATTGTTATACAAAAGCTTACAGGTAAAGTCACCCAGAGGGAAAACAGCCTTCCAAATTATATTATAGTCCTTGAAGGGAGATTGGCTATAAATCCACAAGAGTAAGTAAAGGTGTTTAACACCTCAAAATCCACACATTTGTGTTAGTTTTGGGAAAGCTAAATGCATCAACTCTGTATCACTTCCCTAGTGGAGAATGGTGCTTTGTTTTAGGTGGTGTTTTGGGAGATAAAATATAGCTTTGACCATCTAGGACTAGGATTCTGCACCACTGTGTGGTCCTTTGCATTTGGAAGAATAATCACTCAGGATTAAGTTCATTTAGAATTATTTGTTTTTAGTCATCCACTAATACGACTTCATCAGGTTTTTATGGCAGAATATGAACTCCGGGCAGTCTGGCCAGGAATGCAGCCTGAATTAGATTTCACCTTCATCTCTATGAATTTGATAAGGTCACATTAATACTTACAATAAGTAAACTACATTTGTTTGTGGATAATTCAGATTTGGCAGAAAATCTTAAAAACATTGTAAGACTCCACAAACAAAAAATCTCTTTTTCCAGTCTTGCCTATAAAAGAACTAAAAAGAAAAAAGTGAAATATTTATTTACCTATGATACACTGAGATCTATATACCCCAAGCATTGTACTCAAGTCACCTTAACAGTCGGTGTTGTTATAGTTGATAAGTTTCCAGCATACTTTAGATGATACAAAAGACCCCAATGTATGCTTATAGTATTAATGCTCATAGTTCCTTGAAACATATCCATAAATTATTTACTTATAATCTACCCATCTTTTTCTCAAAATGATTAGAAGAAGCTTTCTGAAGCTTCTTGCGCAGTACTGTCTATTTAAAGAGAACGTTTTCTTGGTCTAATTATAAGCATTTAAAAATTTGAAAAGATTCTACAGTAATACACAAGACTTTATCTACCATTTGCTATATCAAAACATTTCGTACAGGTATTGCATTAAGGGTTTCACCAAGTACTTCTATTGTTAAGCTCAGCAATACCTGGACTATTTTCACTGCTAAATGTATTTAAACTCTGCAATTCTAAAACTCTTAAATGACACTGACATTCTTTAATACATCACCAACCCACTGAGCCTGAGCTTAGTGCATCTATACGTAAACACTCTGCTCCATGGCAATTCTACCTCCTGGCATCATAAAATATTCCTATGCTTTTTAATCTACTACAAATGAGAATCATTTGTTAATGAAAATATAGAACCAGCTTACAGTCATAATATCTTTCACTTAAAATAATTTTTAATGAAAAATACCCACATCGTTATATCTTCTTTTTCTTCCCTTATTCTTTCCTATTCTCAGACTCTACTGTGTGTATCCATAGATATACACACACATCTTCTTTGTTTTTTTTTTTGTTGTTTTTTTTAAGATGGCATCTCGCTCTGTCACCCAGGCTGGAGTGCTGCAGCATGAATCATGGCTCACCACAGCCTCAAACTCCTGGGCTCTAATGATCCTCCTTAGCCTCCCAAGCAGCTGGGTCTACAGGTGAGTGCCACCATGCCCAGCTAATTTTTTTTTTTTTGGTAGATATGGGGTCTCACTTTGTTGTTGCCCAGGCTGTTCTCGAATTCCTGGCCTCAAGTGATCCTCCTGCCTCAGCTCCCCCCTGTTGGGATCACTGGCATGAGATACTGCACTTGGCCCATACATATCTTAAGGTTATCTGCTAATATACTTTAAAAAATAGATTAAAGATAAAATGCATTTTCAGAATATCTGTGAATTATAGGAAAAATATAATACTAGCTATGTGAAATGTAATATAATTTTAGTTTATCAGAAGTTGTTACAGAGATTAAGAGGTCAAATTATTGAAGTTTAGGCTAAACAACAATCCCACCAATATACTTGTAAAGATTTGTTTTTGCAAATATAGGAAGGTTGTTTGAATGAAGAAAGGTATAGACATACAATTCATATACTTCTTCCCTTTATTTATGCAGCTGATTTATTTTTTTGGCTAGCACATATGACAATTGATAAAGCCTACTAGAACACTGTGACATTAATTGGAGTCTACATAGTATCTCACATGCGAAAGAGAAGAAAGACTGGAAACTCAGTAGATCAAAAAGACTTGTCTGCTCATCCTATGGAGTAGTCATTCTTTTATTCCTTTTCTTTCTTAATAAACTTGCTTTCACTAAAAGAAAAAAAAATACTTGGGTGTTAAGGAAAATAATATAAAATGAAAGCTCCCCTACTAAAGTTAGAGCCAAGACTATATATAACAATGGAAACTTATCCACCAGAACATAGCTCCTTAAAGGTCTTCCTTTCAGGCACACTGAATCACCTAGAATACTTTCAAAGCAGCTGTGCTGGCTACTTCCATTAGGGCAATGGAATATGAATTCAATCTATACTAACATTTACCTTGGAAGACAGATCTTTACATTCTTCCTCAATAGTAAAGAGGAGATATCTGCTATCTTTTGGGGGAATTGGTAGTTCCATATCTTGAGGCAAGGAACCTCTGAGATTGCCTATTACTTCTAGAAGTTTGAAGTTTTTCAAAAAGAACCAGTAGGTGGACAAAGTTTGCTATCCAGGTGGCACCATCAGTGGTGGTGGTGGTGGTTAGACAGTGAAAGAAGCCAAAAAACTAACCTAAGGAGGCAAACCTTAAAATGAGAGAGGAACATAAAATGTGTGTGTGTGTGTGTGTATGTGTTTATTATAGTAAACCTACGCAGAAATTATTCTAGTGTGCATTTACCTTTTATTATAGGGCTATCTTATAATTATGATGTTATTCTTCCTTCTCCCTATGGATCAACAATCTGATCTTTCTCTCATTATTTTCAATTATTGTAGCTTTATGGGAGAATGTGAGGAAACAAGTGGTTAATTCATTAGTTTATATAGCATAATATAAAAACTTGAGAAGATGCATAAGCAGTTGATACAAAAAAGGCAAACACCCTACCAACTGGACACTGTAGAGTGATATAATAAAGCAGTTACAAATATTCAATCAAATTACCAAATCCCTCTTAGAAACTGGTTAAAGTAAATACAGGCAGACCGTTGAAAAGGGAACCTGAGTAATTAAAAGGAGGTGATTTAAGTATGCATTGAAAAACAGGGATTAAAAATATTATTCATGGTCTAATGGGAATTCTCGGTTAAAAAATGTAGAAATTTCTATGAAGTTCTCAAATTTTAAAACAAATTCTCACTAGATCATGGGTACAATTTTAAAATCCATCAATATAGGACAAAGGAAACACAGTCAAATACATTTTTATGGTATATCCAACCTGTGCTGAAAGCTGTTTTTGCCTTCTGATGTGATTTTGGGAAAGTTACCTAGTCTTCATCAGTAAAACGAGAGTAATAATTGTACTGCTTCACTAGACTATTGTAGAAAATGGGTCAATTAAATGCAAAGCAAGTACAACAGGGCCTGATACGAAGAAAGCCCTCAATAAATGTTCACCATTACCACAGCTGTCATGATGTTTGCCTTAGGGCCCATCATTAAATCGTGATTTTTTTTTTTTTCTTTTTTGGTAGGAGGTACAGGAATGGTGTGCAGTTCTCCAAATATTCTGGTATAATTTGGTATTTAACATACATTAATTCCAATTTAAATTTGCAAGCATAGGTTTCTAGAAATCTTTCTAATCAGTGTACACTGTCACATTTCTCTATGTGCATGTGTGTGAGATGTGTTTTCCTTTCATGAATTAACATCATTTTTCTTGTAGTCTTTAAGAATATTGCTGCTCATTCGCTCAGAGCCACAGGAGGAGGGGAGAGGCCTGGAGGACACCAACATGAACAAGTTGAAATCATCGCAGAAGGATAAAGTTTGTCAGTTTATGATCTTCACACAATCTAGTGAAAAAAACCGCAGTAAGTTGTCTATCTCAAAATGACTGGAAGTTAGATGTTGCAACAGATAATTTTTTCCAAAATCCTGAACTTTATATATGAGAGAGTGTAAAAGGATCACTGGAAAGGAAGAAGTTAGAACAACTGTACAATAGAGACAAAGATCCTCAAAATGAGAATAAAATTGGAATAGATGGTATATAGCAGTTCTGTGATGGCCTGGCACTCAATCCAGCCAGCATTAGTGTGTTGATTATTGCATGGATGTTCAGAGCAGCAATACAGTGTGAGTTCTCCAAACAGGAGTTCATGGATGGCATGACAGAATTAGGATGTGACAGCATAGAAAAACTAAAGGCCCAGATACCCAAGATGTAACAAGAATTGAAAGAACCAGGACAATTTAAGGATTTTTACCAGTTTACTTTTAATTTTGCAAAGAATCCAAGACAAAAAGGATTAGATCTAGAAATGGCCATTGCCTACTGGAACTTAGTGCTTAATAGAAGATTTAAATTCTTAGACTTATGGAATAAATTTTTGTGGAACATCACAAACAATCAATACCAAAAGACACTTGGAATCTTCTTTTAGACTTCAGTACAGTGATTGCAAATCACGTGTCTAATTATGATGAAGGAGCATGGCCTGTTCTTATTGATGACTTTGTGGAATTTGCACGCCCTCAAACTGCTGGGACAAAAAGTACAACAGTGTAGCACTAAAGGAATCTTCTAGAACGTACATAGTCTGTACAATAAATACAACAGAAAATTGCACAATTTCTGCTGGCTGGACTGAACTAAAGATCAATTCTCACAATTCAGACTGAGGGTTGAGACAAAACTTTAAGGATACATCTTGGACCATATTGTATTTCATTCTTCTAATGGTGGTTTGGGCTTGTCTTCTAGTCTGGGCTGCTCTAAACATTTATAATTCCAACATTGTGGATTTCATCTTACATCTGTGGACCATCCTACTTTATTCTCCCATAAGTCCTAGAAGCTTTATGGTGATTATTTTGAGGTTTCCATTCTTGCATAAAGCACAATGCTGTCTTCATCAGAAAACAGTTGGCATAAGAATTAAACATATGAACATCACAAAGCCATTTATAAGAACTTCTTAAACTACGCTTTGGGCTAGTTGCAAAGACTATGTTAACAGCACTTCCAATAAGGGTGATATATTTAAGTATACTGGATCTGGAATGGTATTTTGGTTTGGGGGGAATTTTTTTTTTTCCTGGCAAATGACATGTGTTGTTGATGTGACTAGAGTATCTGATGAAAAAACAATGTCAGAATAACCAACGTGAAAAATTTTTAGAATAACTTGGTGCCTACCTGAAAAATGTATTGTGTTTCAGACTCTTGATTTCAAAAGGTTCCACAGAACTAGTCTGCGCTTACCTTACCCATGTTTATATATAGTTGTCCTGTGGGGAGCTTTTATTTAGAAAATGCCCGCATAATGTAAGATTCTACTCCTGTCTACATTATGCACTACATAATTGGACTTCATTATGCTTTTGAAATGCTTATCTGCCTGTCACATAAGTTAAACTATTTAATGTGTTTTGAATGTTTTGGATTGCTACACAATACAATATTCTAAATTTAGGCATGAGGGTTTATTTTTTGTTTTGTTTTTACTTTTTTTTTTGTCATTGCACTATGGAACACAAATGAAATTCTCTTAATTTATAAGAAGATAGTAGGAGTTAAATTTTGAAAATGGTTGTGATGAGCCACGAAATTCAATCTTTATAATATAGGTACTGCTCTTTCAGACAAACAGTCCATTTTTAATGACTTCTTATTTTGTTGAAATTACTTTAACTGCTAATCACTGTGGTTGCCAAATATTTACTTCAGAAGCAAAGATTTTCAAACAAGCATACACGATGCAAAATACCAGTCTGGCTTCTAGTCTATTTACTGTTTTTGTTTCACTCAGATTAGCTCAGTTTTCTCATCAAAGCAGAATGCTATCTTGCGTGTGTGTGTGTGTGTGTGTGTGTGTGTGTGTGTGTATGTGTGTATATATATATATATATATATATATATATTTTTTTTTTTTTTTTTTTTTAAATTACAAAAGCCATGAGCTGCTTTTATGCTGAAAATGATCATTTCTCTGTTCACTTACTGACACTCAAAGAAGGGTTTCTTGCTTTCTTAAACATTGCCGTAAGGCAGGCTAGAAATGTAATACTTCAAATGTTAGATGATTATGGTCTTTTGATAAGAGCAGATTCTGCTTGGTATATCCAGGCACTCTCTAAGGTCTAGGGTTGATATTAACAAAGGAATGTATTTCAGAATAGCAGTACATTTTATGCAAATATGGAAATTATTTTAAGAAACAATGACACATTAAAACTGCTTTTCATTTACATGATTTTGAAATAGACTAGAAAGCTTTCCCTATAAACATATTAATATTCCAATCATAATTTTAATTCAAGAATGCAGTTTTACCAAAAGAAAAATCTGAAAATTTATATTCAGGCTACTGGAATTGGTTATTAAAAGAAAAAGGAAAAAGAAGAATCCTGCTGCTTTCAGTATTTCCTGATTTCATTTTTGTAAATATAAAGGAGAATTTCAATTATGAAACACTTTTAAAAGATACATATATCTCTATACATATGTACTGTTTTGTTTCCTGTTTTGAAGATTTTGAGTTATAGTTATTGTTTTCAGACTGATTAATTCACATATGCTGTGTTTTGAAATAAGATCCCATTAGCTGTTTTTTTTTGTTTTGTTTTTTTGTTTTTGTTTTTCAATATAAAGTGTTTTCTTCAAAAGTCTGATATTCGTTTGTGGCCTAGTGCCTTGGATTTTATATATTTTTCTTTTTAAATGCAAAACCTTTTCAACAGAATAGTGTTTGTCATAAGGTTGGTACTAAGCATTTATAATTACTGTGTAATTATAAACAAAAATACATAAAGCTTTGAATATAGTTATGTAGCACTGAAGTTAAGGTTGTTCACTATGATGGCATCTTAGAATTAAACAAAACTTTTACTAGGGCTGAAAAGAATATTGCTGCTAGAATCCTTTAAAATAAATCTTAAAATACATACAAGTGTTTTGATGTAAAATAAATCTTAAAATACACACAAGTGTTTTGATCTGTTAAAATGTAGGCTGCAGGCTTGATAACATGAGCTGAAGGGCAAATCTAGCCTCTATGACTTCTGAAAAAAAACTTTCCCAAACTAACTCAGTCAATTGACAGCACAATTAAACTTGGAAACACACAGCCCTCTGCTTCTCAGATCACTGAGTTCAGGCTCCATAAGCCATGGTTTCTCTTTTTGCATAACACATATGAAAGCTCAATTACTGGAAAGTTTTGAAATAAATACCATATATAGGAAGTAGTGAGAGTGACCAAGATATAAACACATATTCTTATACTATTTGGCTTAGTATTATATTTAGGTGTTTTTCACTTAAATGAAGATTATTTTTTAATTTGCAGACTGGTGGCACATCTTAGAAAGGATCAGAGATATCAGAGCAAGAATAAAAGTCCTGGAATCTCCATTTGGTTTCAGCACAAATTGCCTCAACAAATCACCTTTAGCAGAGCTATTTAACTTCTCTGAAAACCAACTGCTTTGTTCTTTGATAAAAAACAGTGTCAGGGCTGGGCGTGGTGGCTCACGCCTGTAGTCCTAGAAGTTTGAGACAAGACTGGACAACATGGTGAAACTCTGTCTCTACAAAAAATACAAAAAATTAGCCAGGCGTGGTGGCTTGCACCTGTAGTCCCAGCTACTCAGGAGGCTGAGGTGGGAGAATCCATTGAGCCCAGAAGTCAAGGGTGCAGTGAGCCAAGATGGTGTCACTGCACCCAGCCTGGGAGACAGAGCAAGATCCTGTTGCCCAGGCAAAAACCAAAAACCAAAAATCAAAACCAACCAAACAAACAAAAAATACACAAAAAAGGCAGAGAGGTACTCAAAACACTAGACATTTATCATTAGTTCTGGTTTTGTCACCAAATTTGAACATTTAGACAACTCACTTAAATTTTTGATACTTTTTACTTTAATTTTTCCATAAGAGCTAACATGAAGCTTTTCTTTGGCATATCCAGTACAGAAAGGCTGTCATATCACTTACTACATTTTACAAATACATTTTGCAGTTAATATGATCAAGAAGAGGATTTCAAAGGTAAAGGGCAAGGACAATCAATTCCATAAATATGCAATTTACAAATTAGAATATTGTAAACAAATTTTAAAAATTGAGATATGCATAGTAATTTTGACATTTATTTTTGTTAAGGGGGATAGCAAAGGAAATGCTAGTAACAGTAACATATTGAAAGGAACCATGACAAAAATATCTCAAACCAAAAAATGACACAAATGCCCTTGATACATAATTTGAAATGGGATAGGAGAAGCAAAGGCAGGCTGTATTGTAGACTCTGACTTCAAGCCAGGAGGAATAATTCTACTACAACTATGTTTTTCTTTTGTGAAAGACTGCTCAGAACATGAGTAGTCAAGACTACAGAGTTTTCATAGTCTGGATGATGGTGCAAATAAAAGGTATGCTTCTATAAAATAAAGGGAATAGTTAAATTACTATGATAAAGCGAGGAAATAAAAGAACTACTAAGAATGAAGATACTAAGACCTACTTCCAAGTCCTGAAATTGTTGTTTACTTTCTAAACATTAACTAATGCACCACTCTTCTAAGGTGTTAGTTTTACTCAGATACCAGAGGTTAAGTGACTTGCCTATGGCCTTATACTAAAATGGCAGCAGAGGAGAATTTACAGTCAGAACTGGTGGCAGATTCCCATCCACAGTTTGCAAGATCATGCTGATGTCCCATGAGAGAGGTAGTATAATTTTCAATCAGCCAGCAGAGCTGCAAACTGCTTGAACCAGTGCTTTCTAAGGCCAATAGTACCCATGTTATCAAATGAAAACAACAGGGCACAGAATTAGAACTGCCAATCAGTCATTTTCTCCAAGTTTCCCATTGGCAACTCTAATATTCTTTCCTCTTTCTGGCTTGTTTACTTTCACACAATTTTGTAGAGAACTTCCAAGAGTGAGAGGATTTAGAATATGAAGCTGGTTTTCGTGTTTTTTTTTTTTTTTTTTTTTGAGATGGAGTCTTGCTCTGTCACCCAGGCTAGAGTGCAGCAGCGCGATCTTGGCTCACTGCAACCTCCGCCTCCCCGGTTCAAGCAGTTCTCGGCCTCAGCCTCCCGAGTAGCTGGGATTACAGGCGCCCACTACCACCCCCGGCTAATTCTTGTATTTTTAGTAGAGATGGGGTTTCACCATCTTGGCCAGGCTGGTCTTGAACTCCTGACCTTGTGATCCACCTGGCTTGGCCTCCCAAAGTGCTGGGATTATAGGCATGAGCCATGGCGCCCAGCAGAAGCTGGTTTTCATCTCTTTACAATGCAGTTTTCTTTCCAGGTGGCTTCCGACAAGCCAAGCCAAACATTTAAGATGGTCAAAACGAATGCTTATAACTTAAAATCGAGGAAAACTGCATACCCAAATGTCTAATAACAGATAACTCACTAAATAAATTATGATATTTTATATGAGGGAATATAGTGTAGCCATTAGAAATTATTCTTGAGAACAATATTTAATGCTATAAATTATTAGGCATTTATAAAATAACAGAAGATATTTCTATAAGAAAAAAGTGACTGTGCGTGTAAATGTATGAAGAAAAAGTCTCTAAAGGAAAAAAAGAACTGTAAACAACTACTGCATTTTAGTTAGCATCTGCTTTTTGCAAGAGTAAGGGCTAGTAATTCTAAAACTACAACACTGAATATTCTAGGATTGAGGAGCTAAATAAATATATCTTTATTAACAATAGTGTTATACCTTACAGGTAGAAAGAGGAGTTATTAATAAAAAAGGAGGAAGACTAAGTGAACCCTTTGGTCTTAGATTGAAATAAGAGGTATAAGAATGATAAATATAGATGTTTTTACACACACATACACACGGGAGGTAAATGGACATGCAAATAAATACAAATGTCTGTGTATACATACTTACATTTCCTTGCTTTGTACACAGAGGGCCTAGAAGCAAAGACACCCAAGTAGCAATGGAATGCAGCAAGCACCCAGATTTTCTATTTTTGAGACAGGATCTAACTCTTATCACCCGGGCTGGAGCACAGTGGCTTGATCATGGCTCATTGCAGCCTTGACCTCCTGGGTTCAAGCAATTCTCTCACCTTGGCACCCCCTACCATCCATCACCACACCTAGATAATTTTTAATTTTTTCGTGGAGATGGGGTCTCACTATGCTGCCTAGGCTGGTTCTGAACTCCTGGCCTCAGTGATCCTCCTGTCTTGGCCTCCCAAAGTGCTGAGATTAAAGGTATGAACTGCCATGCCCAGTCCAGATTTTAGTTTCTACAACCATTCTCTAATAAAAGGAACCAAGTTTCTTAAAAACAAAATGGCCGATTCCAAAGCTGGGGCAGGGACAGCACAAGATGCCAGAATGCAAGGTAGTATTCAAGAAACACTGGGGTGAGTCTATACTTACATAAATAAATAACTGAATAAAGTAAATAAATGGGGGAGAAGGGAAGTTCTTCCTTATAGTATAATTCCAGGAATGACTAAAAAAGAAAATCACAGTAGTAATTGTTCTGGGCAAATATCACAAATGGATGCTGAAAATAATGTTAAAAACTATGACAAGAAACAGAATATTTATATAATCTCAAAGTTTCTCCCCAAATATATTTATTAATTACAAAAGAAAAAGTAACTCTATAGTGAAGAAGGCTGGCAGACATCACCTCAATTGTATAAAGTCAATATCATTGCCATACACATCTGTCATAAGCCTCCTGATATGATACACTAAGAGGACAAACCATCACTGCTGTGGTATTCTTGACAAAGAATACCACAAACTTAAATGTAATCAGAAGGAAACATCAGGCAAATCCAAACTGTGGGATAACTCCATAAAATAACTGCTTGGTACTCTTCACAAGTGCCAAGAAAGACAAGAAGACTAAGGCGACATGACAACTAAATGAAACGTGGGATCTTGAATTGGATCATGGTACAGAGAGAGAAAGGGCAATTATTGGGATAAAATTCATACTGACAAAATTTGAATAGGTCTGTAGATTTGTTAATAGGACTGAACCAACACCGAGTTAAGATGTTACCTTTAGGGGAGGCTGGGTAAAATGTACAAGAAAATTTCATTGTAGTATTTTACAAACTTTTTGTAAGCTTGAAATTATTTCAAAACGAAAGTCTAATTTTAAGAAAATTAAAAATTCATTGAAAAAAAGAAAAGACCCTCATACTCATGTGGGTGAAGGTATAATTACTATGAATGACTTTAATTTTAGTATGCTGCTTTTCCAAATTATCTACAATGAAGCATACTATTTTTATAATTAAAGAGAAAACGATTTCTCTTTAAATGCTGTTTAGAAGGATCAACAATATTTAAGAAATATAAATATTATCCCAGACACTGTATATAAGGATATATATAGATATATATACTGTATAAATATATATACTGTATATAAAAATATCTAATAGAGGCTAAAAGTACCTGGCTGAATCCTTTTCCTTAAAAGTAAATTTAGAAACAGACTCCTTTAAGAAATTTCCTAGATTATTATATGGCTTTTGAATCATTATTGACTGAGTGCTAAAAATGAATCAATGAACTGATCACGCAATATAGGTTTTAGAAGTAATATACATATAAAAATTACAATGTACAATCAATATATCTGCAAATATAAAAATTTAATTCATCTTGCCACTTCTCTTCAACCCTTTCTGACCCCAGAGTTCATTAACAAGTTAAGTGTTTGAGAGAGGAAAGGAAGTTATAGGAAACACAAATGAGTATCCAGGGCAACAGCTAAAACTTTAGGACCTTTAACCTTTGTGAAGTGTGACTAATAAGCAGTAGCAAATCACCTTCCTCAATAAGTAAACCATGTGTTAGTTACAAAAGAGTGTAAAAACGTGTTACATGTTTATTATAGCCTTACTTCCCTTCCAATTTTGATAACTTGAGCTTACTCTATTTTTTAAATAATTCTTCAGTTTCTAAAACAATAAAATTGTTATTTTTGGTAACAAAAATGTTTGAGGCCAATTTTAAAACATTCAAACATTTAAGAACAGCATAAAGAAAAAAATTAAAAATCACCCCAATTCCTGCTGCTCAGATACGGCTACTGTTAATCTTTTGGTGGACACCATTCTGGATCTCCTCTCTGGGTATATGTTCATATACAGATATGGACATTCTATACAAATGTAGAGTTCATAAATGGAATTGTAATATTTTGTAGTGTTCTGATAACCTGAGAGATACTTAGGTTATTTCCAAGCCTTAACTTTGCAAATCATTTCATAATGTATATTCTTGTACATATATAGACTAACTTACTCTACCTTTAAAGAACTTAAATCTTTTGAAAATTTTAAAAATGGGTTTTATGAAAAAAAAAATGTTTAGAAACATGTCCAAAAAAGGTATAAAGTAGAAAATCGAAATCCTTTATAATCGCAATCCTTTAGGTATTCTTCCCCCACCAAAACCGGCTCTTCTGACAATCATCCCCCAGTAATGTCAGCTCCATGCTTCTAGTTGCTATGGAGAAAAGCCTTGAAATAATCTTTGGTTCCTTGCTTTCCCTAAAAACCCTTGTTCAATTCATTAGAAGAGTCTGTTAGTTCTCCTTAGAAAAATATTCAATATCTGACCAGTTTTAATCAACCTCACCCATACTAACCTGCTCAAACCACCATCATTTATTGTCTAGCACTACAGCACTTAAGGTATAAAAAGGTCATTGATATGGTTTCAGATTCCATATTGCAACTAATCTTCAAGAAATATCACTTGTCAGATTCTAGTGTAGCATTAAAGAATACCCACAATTATCTGAAAAGGCTATAAAAATACTCTTCTCTTTTTAAACTGTTTACCTCTCTAGGCTGGATTTTTTTCATATACTTCAACTAACACATCCTATTGCAACAGACATTTTATGTTGATTGTAAAAGAAGATATATAAATCTAGTTGATCTCTTAAGTTGGAGATTAAAGATACTTGCAAAATGTAAAAACTGCAATACTTCTCACTTTTTTTTATTGTTTTAACCATCTCTTTTGACCTTTTTTACAATAAGCCTCTTTGATACTCCTTGAATATACCAAGTAACTTCCTACATGCAAACTTTCTTAGTGTTTGAATACACACCTCCAGAGACCCTACGGTTCACTCTCTTCTTTCATTTTTAGTTAAATGTTACCTTACCAGTGAGATAGTTCCTGAATACCATATTAAAAAATGGTACAAAACATTACCCTCCGTCTTTCTCTTTATTTATTTTACCATTCTTTATTTTTTTTAAAAAATAGCAGTTATTGAAAAATGGCAGTTATTACCTATTAATTTATATTTTAAATTGTCAGTCTTCCCCGTCTTGAGTGAAAGTCCGTTAACAGAAGGGACTCTTCTGTCTTGTTAATTATTATATGCTCAGTGCCTAGAAAAGTATCTGGCACGTAGTTTGCCTTCAATATGTTTTAGTAGAATGGGTGACTAAAACTGTCATCTTATTTCATTTATATTTGCTTTTACTTTGGAAATTCTTGATATGATCAACCAGTTGTTTCTCAACAATGCTACCATAAAGTTGTTAAATGCAAGTACATTTTATCCTAAAACTAGAAAAAAGAGGGCAGGAATGATGGGAGAAAACACACATAGGTATTAGAAATGACTTTCATACCTGACATACTCTGAGAGCTTGGTCCAAGACTGTTTTGGTATCAGTGTCATAATCTGGGCAGGGTAGCATGGCTCGGCTGAGATGTGCCTGTAGCAGGAGATGTGCTTTGGTGTGAGGGCTGTCAAATGAATGAGGATTTGATTCAATGGGAAGACATTTTGCCAGTTCACTATTCATATGATCTTCATTGTGTCTCACTGGCAAATCTGTATATTCTTCTGCATCCTGAAAAAAAAAAAAAGCCCCACATTGTTGGATCAAAGTATAATAATTAATGTACTTCTTAGCTTTACTGACATTTAAAACATGGCTCAGAAAAATCATACAATAACCATATCCCTTAGAATTTTGCTTGTTCAATATTATCATTAATACACAAGCAATGTATTAATGATAGTGAATAACGTACAATCTGTGAAATTCATGAATGTTCCTTTGTATTTATAGTCAACAAAAATAACAGAGTATTTACTAGGCATCACACACTATACATGACACTGGGGCCACAGCAGTGAACCAGAAACTGAGAGGTAGATAAAAAAATTATATAAAGTGTAATAAATGTTACGATATGGTAAAAGTACAGAGTGTTGAATGGCAATTCAGTTTGGGGGACCTTCTTATTTTAGAGGGTGAGGGAAAGCTTTCTGAAAAAGTGATGTTTAACTTAAGATCTTGTGAATGAATGGAAGAAATAAGACAGGGCTGGAGAAAGGGGCAAGGATAAGATTGGCAAGATGAGAAAAGGGTAAAGAGCAGAATTATTACTTACTATTTATTGTAACCAATTAGATCATACAGAGAGTTAGATTGTTCTGGAATGTTTTGATTTTTCATCTTAGATTTTTTAGGGTACAGTAGTGAAAAGTAGTCTCCATGATATCAGTCAATAAGTGCCAATTGAACCTACAAGCGAAACTAGAACTGTTCTGTTAAAAAATAGACTGATCTATTTATTAGCGTTTGTTGTGAAACAAACATCATATTTTTCCAAATATGTAGTTATTTGAGATTGTCCATGGATGTTGATATGAATCCTACATCAGACATAGCATTAATTGGATATGTTAATATTCAAACAGGGGCTGGATTTATCCTCCTACTGCAACTGCCAACTTCCTCCAAAAAATTAAAAAAAAAAAAAAGACAAAAACCTATGAAACAGTGGTCTTCCAGATGCTGAACATAAAACTATGAAAGAGAATGATCTCTGATATATAGAAAACAAACTAGGTGACCCTTAGCATTGCCTCAGCTTACTGCATGGAGCGTTACCACACTGTGGTGTAGTGAGAGAGAATCCAGGTACACCTGGAGGACTACCTGTATTGAGGAGATGAAGACAACCTTGCCTAAGTAGTGGAGAATAATTAGCTCTACGACAAATATTACTCTAGACCTGCCCAGCAAATCAAAAAGCAACACCTAAAAGGATCAAACAGCTTCCAAGTAAATTAACTGCATTCCAGAACAGAGCTCAAGAAGATTTATAGGAATACAAAAAATACAGTACTCAAGAAGGTGAAATTCACAATGTATGTCATCCAATTAATGATTATCAACTATGCAAAAAAACAGGAAAAGAGGATCTATAACAAGGAGAATAATCAATCAATGAAAACTTAGGACTGACATAGATCTTAGAATTAGCAGACAAAACAGTTGTTACAACTGTATTTTACATATTTAAAAAGTTACTGACAACTACTCAATTCAAATTTCTAGAGATGAAAATTACAATGTCTGAGATGAAAAATACACTGAATTTTATTAATGGAAGAATACACATTGAAGAAATTTGTAAACTTAAAGACATCAATAGACACTATTAAAAATGAAACACAAAGAGAAAAAAGAATTTAAAAAATCAACACAACATCAATGAGTTGTGAGACAACTTCAAGTGGCCTAATGCACAGTGTGGAAGGAAGGGCAGAAAAAAGTTTGAAGATATAGTCACTGGAAAAGGTCTAATTTGATATAAACTATAAATCTATAGATTCAAGATATTCAACAAACCTCAACCAAAGAAAAATGAAGAGAACTATACAACCATAATTCATCACTACTGAATTGCTCAAAATCACTAATAAATAGAAAATATGAAAAGCAGCCAGAGGAAACACTATGTTATGTACAGTGGAAGGAAGATAAGAAACCAGGTTTCTCATCAGAAATAATGCCATAAGGCAACAGTGAAGCAACATGTTTAATTTACTGTAAGAAAAACAACTGTCGGGCCGGGCGCGGTGGCTCACGCCTGTAATCCCAGCACTTTGGGAGGCTGAGGCCAGCGGATCACGAGGTCAAGAGATTGAGACCATCCTGGCCAACATGGTGAAACCTCATCTCTACTAAAAATACAATGAATTAGCTGGGCATGGTGGCACGCACCTGTAGTCCCAGCTACTCGGGAGACTGAAGCAGGAGAATCGCTTGAACTCGGGAGGCAGAGGTTGCAGTGAGCCGAGATGGCGCCACTGCACTTCAGCCTGGAGACAGAGCAAGACTCCGTCAAAAAAAAAATAATAATAAAATAAAAAAAGAAAAACAACTGTCAATCTAGAATGCTAAATTCAGTGAAAATAAATCTTTCAAAAGTGAAGAATTTTCAAACATACAAAAGCTGAAATAATTCAGCTGACATGCTTAATGTTAAAGTCATTGTTCAGGCAGAAGACAAATTATACCAGATGAAAATATGGATCTACACAAAGAAATGAAGAGCACTAAAAGTGGTAATTTCATGGATAAATATGTAATAATTTGTTATTACTATTTTAATATCACTCAATACAAAATGATTGTTTAAACAAAAATAATAAATAATGCATTATGGAGTTTAAAATACATAATTAGAGTTTATTATCTACATAATAAAGCATGACCCAACTACAGTTGTCCCTTGGTATCCATGGAGGATTGGTTCCAGGACCCCCTACAGATACTTAAATCCAGATACTCAAGTCTCTTATATAAAATGTGTAGTATTTGCATGTAACTTACACATATCCTCCTGTATACTTTAAGTCATCTCTAGATTACTTATAATACTTAATACAACGTAAATGCTATGTACATAGTTGTTATACTGTGTTGTTTGGGGAATAATGGCAACAAAGAAAAGTCTATACATGTTCAGTACAAATGCAGCCATTTTTTTATGAATATTTTCGATCTGCAATTGATTAATCTATGAATGCAGAACCCATAGACACAGAGGACCAACTATATATGTTTGCCTACTACCAAACACGCACTAATATACATATATAAATACATGTATATATGTGTAGATATGTATATATTAATGTATAGAGAGACAAATATGTTAAAAGTAAAGGAATAGAAAAAGATATACTATGCTAACAGTAGTTCAAAGAAAGGCAGAGTGGCTATATTAATTTCAGATAAAGTACATTTCAGAGCAAAGATTATCATCATGGATAAAGACGGTAACTTCATTAACTATAAAGGAGTCAATCAATCAGAAGGACATAACAATCTGAAACATTTATGTCCTGAATAACAGCTTCAAAATCCATGAAAAAAAACTTGTAGAAGTACATGGAGAAACAGAAAAAAAATCAGAAGTATTGCTGAAGATTTCAATACCTATCTTTTAATAATCACTAAAACAAGTCGAAAAAATCAGCAAGAATATAGAATTGAACAACACTGTTAACTAAGCTGACTTGATTGACATTTATAAAACACACAACGCAATAAGAGTTGAATATATTTATTCTCAAGAACACAGAGACTATTTACTGAGATCATATTAGAGGGCCATAAAAACAAATTTCAAGTGATACTTTGACTGCAAGAAAATGAAATGAGAAACCAATGACAGACAGATCTCTGGAAAATCCCAAATATTTAGAAACTAAGTAATACACCTCTAACTCATGATTGAAAGAAAAAATAAAACAGGAAATGAGAAAGTATTTTGCACTGAATGAAAATAAAAATATAACGTCTCAGATTTTGTGGGATATCATTGGAACAGTACTTAGGAGGGATTTATAAAACTAAACATCTATATTAGAATTGAAGAAAGGTCTCAAATCAGTGACTTTTGTGTCCACCTTAAAAAACTAGAAAAAGAACAGGAAATTAAGTCCAAATAAGCAAAAGAAAGGAAAGGATGAAAATTAAAGTGAACAAATCACTGAAATAGGAAACAAATACAATAGAGAAAACAAATGAGACCAAAAGCCGGTTCTTTAAGAAGATCAACAACACTGATACTCCTCTAGCAAACAGATCAGGGAAAAAGGAGAGAAGACACACACCAATATCAGGTATAAGAGGGGTGACATAACTACAGGTTTTACAGATACTAAAATAATAATTAAAAAATAATATGAACAGCTTTATGCCTTTACCTGTAAAAACTAAGATGAAATAGATAAACTCCTTGAAAGACAAAAAAAAAGAAGAAATAGAAAACTCAAGAAGAAATAACCTGAAAATCTTTACATGTATTAAAGAAATTCAATTTGTAGTAAAAAATCTTCTGACAGAGAAAACTCCATGCCCTGATAGCTTCCCTAGTGAATTCTATCAAACATTTAAGAAAGAATTAAAACCAATTCTGTAAGAATTTTCCTGGAACATCAAAGAGACAGAAATATTTCCCAACTAATTTGATGGCACCAGTTCTGTCCTTATGTCAAAACTAGACAATAACATTAAAGGACAAGAAAACCACAAAATATCTCTCATAAACGTAAAAATTCTAAACAAAATTTTAGCAAATTTAACAATATATAAACAGAATAATACATCATGACCAAATGAAGTTTATTCTGGGGATGCAGGATTGGTTAAACACTCAAACATCAATAAATATAATTCACCTTATAAATAAACTTTAAAAGAAAAACCACATTATCATCTCAGTTATACAGAAAAAAAAAATCTGACAAAGTTCAACATCCATGCCTAACAAAAACTCTCAGCAAACTAAGAAAAGGAGGGTTACTTTTTCAACCTCATAAATGGCACTTCTTTTTTTGTTGCTTTTTTTTGAGACGGAGTCTTGCTCTGTCGCCCAGGCTGGAGTGCAGTGGCACCATCTCGGTTCACCGCAACCTCTACCTCCCAGGTTCAAGCGCTTCTCTTGCCCCAGCCTCCCAAGTAGCTGGGACTACAGGCGTGTGCCAGCACACCTGGCTAATTTTTTCATTTTTAGTAGAGACGGGGTTTCACCCTGTTAGCTAGGATGGTCTCGATCTCTTGACCTTGTGATCTGCATGCCTCGGCCTCCCAAAGTGCTGGGATTACAGGCGTGAGCCACAGCGCTGGCCATAAATGGCACTTCTGAGAAATCTATGGCTAACATTTAATAGTGACAGACTGAATGTTTCTCCCCTAAGATCTGGAACAAAACAGGGATTTCTG
Organism: Homo sapiens; assembly: GCF_000001405.40. Classification (NCBI taxonomy): domain Eukaryota; kingdom Metazoa; phylum Chordata; class Mammalia; order Primates; family Hominidae; genus Homo; species Homo sapiens. The sequence goes on from NC_000006.12 coordinate 100,545,569, forward strand.
CTTTCACCACTACTACTAATTATTCTCTTTTTAAAAAACAGAGATAGGGCCTCACTCTTGTCGCCCAGGCTGAAATGTAGTGGCACAATCATAGCTCACTGCAGCCTCAAACTCCTGGGCTCGTTATCCTCTCACCTTAGCCTTCAGAGTAGGCATGCACCACCATGCTTGGCTAATTAAAAAAAATATTTTTTGTAGACTTGGGATCTTACTATGTTGCGGAGACTGATCTCAAACTCCTTGCCTCAAGCAACTTTCTGCCTTAGCATCCCAAAGCGCTGGGATTACATATGTGAACCACCATGCCTGGTCTGCTCTTACTATTTCTATTCAACACTGTACCACAGGTTCTAGCCAGTACAATCAGGCAACAATAAGAAATAAAGGCATCTAGATTGGAAAGGAAGAGGTACAACTATCTTTATTTGCAGTTGACATGACCATCAATGTAGAAAGTCCAATGATATTTAAAAAATAAGTTTGGCAAGGGTGTAGGATACAAAATTAATATACAAAAATTGATTGTATTTTTCTGTATATTTGGAACCAACAATCAGAAATAAAAAAGGAATTCATGATAACATTATATATATGAAGTACACTTAGAGATGAATCTGATAAAAATATGAAAACCTGGATATTGAAAACAAAACAAAGAAAACACTGCTAGGAAAAAATAAAGAGGATCCAACTAAATGAAGGGTTATACCTTAATTCTCCCAAATTGATCTACAGATTTAATACAATTTCAGTTGAAGCTGCAGCAGGCCCTATGTTGTGTGTATTAGAAATTGACAAGTTGATTCTAAAATTCACATGGAAATGTAAAGGACCTAGAATAGCCAAAAGCACTCAGGATAAAAAGACCAACGTTGAAGAGCTAGCCCTACATTATTTTTTTTTATAGTTTAATGTATTTTAATAGCAAACTTACAGGAACAGCACAGAAGACAGACAACATTAAAAACGTGCTTGCATGTAGGACAACTCAGAAAAATACAGTGAACGGATGCAATCTACTGTATGATAGAAATGCAACCAACATCATTTAGTTGCTGTCAATAAGAAATTTACTTGTTTAAAAAAAATCCAAATCCTGGCATTGTCCAGAAAAATTTAACAAGTTTATTTATAGTTATCATAAAGCTGAATTGCTGAAACTTTTTCACTGAAACATTTTGATTTGCATTAATGCTTTATGTCTCCACATTTATATTAAAAATTCACACACAAATAAAAATGGAAAAACTGCCAATACCTGATTTCTGTCCCCTATTTTTTTCATTCACAATCATATACTTAGGTACCTTTTGACCCCATGGAAAAAAATATCTAGTGTTCACAACTACCACAACAGGAAGAAGATAATTTTTTTTTGAGAATGGAATATTTCCCATCATGATGGATTCTTAAGCATGTTCTCCATGAGCACTACATGACTTATAAAGCTACACTAAGCAAAAATGTATACATTGGAATTGAACAAGGAGTCCAAAAATAACCCACATATACAAGGGCAACTAATTTTTGACCAAGGCTCAAAGGCAAAGCAGGGGAGAACAGTCTTTTCAAGAAGTGGTAGTAGAATAACTGGGTATCCATATGGCAAAAAAGAATCAACTTCAATCCTTATTTTATACCATAAGAAAATTCACTCAAAATGTATCATAGACCTAAATATAAAATCTAAAACTTTAAAAGTTCCAGAAGAAAACACAGAACATCTTTGTTACCTGGAATTAGGAAAAAATTTATTTGATGGGACAGTTAAAACATGACCCATACAAGAAAAAAAATGATCAGCTGAACATCATCAAGATTTAAAATATATTGTTAAAATACTAAAAATAAAAGCCACAGAGTGAAAGTATCTGCAAAGCAGATATCTGATCTAGGACTTGTATCCAGAATATATAAGGTTCTCTCAAAGCTCCAACAATGAGAAAACAAACAGCCCAGTAAAAGAAGGGCTAAAGATTTTAACAGATACTTTATGTAAAGATGTCTCATATCACTAGTTTTAAGAAAAATATAAATTAGAATGGCCAAAATTAAAATAACTGTGACATAGCAAGTGTTGGAGAGAATGGGAAAGAAATGGAAATTTCATGCATAGCTGGTGGGAATGTAAGATGTTCCAATTTCTTTGGAAAAGAGTCTCATGTTTTCTTAAAACATTAAACATACACCCACCATGTGATCTAGCTATTCCATTCCTAGGGATTTACCCAAGAGAAAAGAAGGTGTATGTCCATACAACAAAGACTTGTACACAGTAGTTGGCAGCAGCATTATTTGTAAAGTGAAAAAAAAATCAGAAAAAAACTTAAATGTCCATCAACAGGTGAGAAGGTAAACAACTGTGTCACATCCACACAATGGAATTTTAGCAATAAAAGGAATTAATGATTGATGTTTGCCAGAACATGAATGAGTATCAAAATAATTATGTTGAGTCAAAGAAGCCAGACCAAAAAAAAAAAACAGGAATACATACACTAGGATTTCATTTATATCCTACTCTAGAAAATGCAAATGAATCTATAGGAACAGCAAACAGATTACTAGCTACCTAGGGGAGTGGTCATGGTGGGAGGTGTGTTCATAGAGAAAAATAAGACAACTTTTGATTTGCACTCATGGATTCTTGTCTATGAAATAAGACTTAACGATGGAACCCCTTAGAGAGTTCATTATTTGGAATGCAGTAATATGAAACAACTGGAATATTCTACTATCTATGCATAATGTCTGCATCTTTTTGTGCTTGATTGACAGTTTCAGAACCCCATGCCCATATTACATGCCAAGTATATACTACAAAAGTACTAAAAAATAGGGCAATGACGATAGTATTAAATCCTTATGAAAAAATTTAGACTATATTAATAGGAAACTTCCTATATCAAAACTTTGTATGAAATAATTTAATAAATATTTTTGAGTATCTACCATATGCCATTGTAGGCTCTTGGCACAGTCAAGCTCCCTAGTGTGACAGACAGACATTATTCAAGCAACTACATATATAAACGCAAATTTGATATGGTGACAAGTGCTATGAGGAAGAGATACATGGAAACATGAGAGAGTTTTGTAAAGAAATTTGACCAAGTTAGGAAGGTTAGGAAGGCTTTCTGAAGGAAAAGGCATTCAAACTAAGATATACAGGATGAGCAGATATTAACTAGGTGAAAAGAGAAGTGAGGAGTGTTCTAGGAATAGTATACAGTAGTTCTCCCTTATCCACAGGGGATACATTCCAAGAACCCCAGCGGACACATGAAACTCCGGATAGTAACAAGCCTTATATATACTATGTTTTTCCTATGTATACATACATATCTATGATAAAGTTTAATTTATAAATTAGGTAGAGTAAGAGATGAACAACAATAACTAATAATAACATAAAACAATTATAATAATATATTGCAATAGGAATTTTGTGAATGTCCTCTTTCTCTCTCAAAATACTTTGTGTAATGTAGGCACCTATTTTTGGATTGTGGTTGACCATGGGTAACTGAAACCTGGAAAGAAAAACTGCAAATAAGGGGGGACTGCTGTATACAAAGGCCCTCTAATGAGAGGAAAAATGGTGAGTCCACGAGACTGAAAAATGTTGTGCAAAAATAGTTTCAACAGATTTAATACAGCAGGCTGAAAAAGTATCTTGAATATTATTTGGAACATTCTGTTTAACTGAATTGATAAATATTTGTTAATTATGTCCCTTGTTTTTCTTGGTAATAATAAAACAATGTTATGGCTATTCTACGCTGTTTTGAATACTGTCTTCACTATTTTGGACTATTTTATGGAAGAACTATACGCTGACACATTAGCAGTTAACAATGTTTATTTAACCCTGTGTGTCACCTTGGTTTTCTTCTTGTATGTCATGTTAGTTTTTTCCTTTTTTCTTTGAAGTCATTTGCCAAAAATGAGGGATCAGCTATATAAGACAGTGCTATTATTCTTGGATTTCAGGTGAATCAGGACTGAACTACTGTTACCTGCTGACTGACTCATTTCAACCTGTTTAAGCTCCATCAAAGTCCCCATCAGAAAGTTCACTTATTTTCCCAGCCTTGCCAACTGGTTTAAGAAAAATGTAATAGCAAATAAGGAAGAGAATGACTCAGAAATCTAAAAAAAAAATTTTCCTTCAAGGAAATTAAAATAATATTTAGGGAAACAAATTATATAAATGAATAATTATTTTAAGTGAGGAATAAGACATTCTACAGAGAAGAGCACTGAAGAAAACTGGATGTGTTGGAAAGTTTCCCAGAAGACACGGCATTTGTTCTAGGCTTAGAACAATTTGTAGAAGAGGAGAGAGGAGAGATTCCCTGCATTCCAGGCAAAGAAAATAGTGTGAGTAGATCCATGAAAACTGATAAGGAGCATCTGAGGTTTAAGCTTCAGGGATGAGAAGAATGATGATGCTATTAGTAGCAGTGGAGTTGGGAACATCCATGAGCAGGAGCTTTCTGTCAAGTATGCAAAATACACTTAAAGAAACAGCAAGAATCCAGATAGTTCGGTGGAGGTGGTGGAAGGAGAAGAAATCAGCTTTAATTCTGTTTCATAGTCTAAAACTTTATTCACATTTTATGTTTCTTTCTACTGTTTGTAAAATCCAATTCCTTCTGATCCTTTATCAGAAGAAAATTCAATAGCTATTTTAGTACTGCAACCTGCATTGGGTCTACAGATTTTGAATGAAAACACTAATTAATAGTATTATCTATTAATTAGATAATCTACTTTCTTCAGTACTATGTAGGTCAACTTAATTACATACACTATACACTCCCATTTTCCCCTGAGAAAGAGAAACCTCTGAAAGTGTGAACATCTTTCTAAATATGTTTCTAGTATTCAAAAGTATACATTTTTCATAAGGCTTGCCTTGTAAATGTAAGCAAACTACTTCATTTGGTGCTAAAGAAACAATGATCTGCTCCAATGGTAGAGGAAAACTTAGGAGTGCTGAACTCACAGAGAATCAGCATATCTGAACAGGGCTGACTATACTCGACCATGCTTGCACTTGTGGGGTTATTTGCAGGTAACTTTGATCATAAGTACTTTTAGTTGTATTTCCCTATGTTAGAATTTCAACTCTGTTAGAATTTCAACTCCATGTAAGATGTGACTCTACTGTTCTCTTCTAAACCATGCTAATTCTGCTAGATTTATGTGATTTATTGCATTAATCCCCTTCTTTACTAGGATTGTGTATTTGACCACTGCCAGTAGTATCAGTATCAGATGAGTCTGCTAACAGTTGAGTATATTTTGGGTTGGAAAGAATGCTCTGCAGTAGAGATATTTTTCTAAGTTTAATAAGTTTCTAAGTTTAATAAGTTTCATAAAAATGCCTTATGTAGTTAATCTAAGTTTAATAAGTTTAATAAAAATGCCTTATGTAGTTATCCAGACAGTCACCCTCCTAAAATGTTAACCCAGTGATGCCTTTTCTTAGTGCATGAAGTAATCTTTCTTAACTAAGGGTTCCTTAATTTCTTTGCAAAAAACTATATGCACTTCAATAAAAATTAAAAGTACTTCAATAACCACAAGGTCTTACTGGGCTGGGTAGCTTGTTTACCACATATTTATTCAGCATATATTATGGACAGGTATACACAATGGTAAACAAAAAGAGACATGACTCTCTGCTTTTATGAAGCTCTGCAGTCTAGCGGGGGAGCCAGACCTTAATCAAAGATAATCACAAATAAATGCAAAATGGCAACTGGACAAATATAATGAGGAAGAGGTACATATAATAATAGTGGGCATGTAGGTATCTGTGAAGAAGTTATGATTGAATTGAAAGACAATCAAAATGATTTTTTTAAAAGAAAAAGGAAGGAGGGAAGATAGGTTAAGAATCAAATTTGAATAGAAAAGGGGGGACTGGCACTTATTATAGTAACATACTCTTAAAAAGGCTTAATATTATTTTTCAAATATAAGTTATATCTACACTGTACTTGATAGTGAGTCATAATCCAAAAGTGTCTACACTGATTTTATAATTAAACATATGCTTTTGGTAAGTAGGACATTTTTCATTATCAAATTTGACACAGACAACACTTTTGAGATCTTCAAAGGAGCTGACATTTGGTTTATAAATGTTTATCAATTATCAAATCAATATTAGTTTCCATATTTAAAAATTATAATTAACAGGTCTAATCAACAGCTATTACTTCCTTTGACAGTTCTTCTTTTTCTGCTTCCAGTGTTTGAAATAAAGGGAATCCAAAGAATGTGGTAGTAAGTAACTCATCCCTTTAGAGATATTATAGATCTCTAGGGTGGGCATGGTGTGGGATGAGGTGGTGGAGAGAAATGTGAGATCTGGGAATTGATACAATAGGTGATCTTCAGCTCTGCCACTTCCAAGCTATGTAACCTTCTGAGAGTAACTGTAACTCCCCAGGTCCCAAATTTCTTATCTTAAATTTGGGTTTGGTGTGAGAATTCAATATGATAGTGTTTATAAACCACTTAAACATGGTAAGATGTGCTGTAAATGTTAGAAATAATAATAATAAAAATAATAGTAATAATAATGATAATAATCACATCTGATACTCTAAAGGATGTTAACTGAATTTTAAGAGTTAATTGAATTTTGTTCTACAGTTTTCAGATGTAAATCTTTGTTTATAATTATGTAAGTGTCCTTCACTATGTAAAATAAAATTTAATTAACCTACTTTAAAAAATATGATTCTTAAAGTGTTATTCAAAGAAACAAGATTTTTAAAACTTATGCTTTACTAGTAGTTTCACATTCATTTTATTCAAGTAACCATACAATTTATATGTGATTGCATCATTGAAAATATTGGTTCTTTGAAAGACCAATATGTGCTTGTAATATAAGAGACAGTCAAATTCAAGATAAAATATTCAGAAATTGTATCCTCTTGAACTGCAGATTTGATACTGTGAGCTTTAGTCTCCAATCTCCAATTAGGTTTCTTTTAAATCCACATTAATTAAATGCTCACAAAAGTACATCAATGTGTGATAAAGAAATATGCTCTTTCCAGTGCACCTCAGTGGAACTAACTCAAAATAGTGTGGAAAGATAGAGAAAAAGAAGCATTAATACAGCTGGAATGCAACATTTCTGAAAGAAAAAAAAAAGTATTATGGAGTATATTACTCTGAAACCCTATAGTGTTTTTTAATTAAAACTCAAGTGCTATGAACCACAAGAAAAAGATAGAAAATATTATATATTTTAGATTATTTAGAATGAATAGAAAATATTATAAGTTGTTTTTTTCTTTTCCTTTTGGAGATGATATTTTGATTATGGACTTGAAAAGAGATTTAAAATGAAGACAGACTGAAGACAACTGCTATTTAATCCTCAATTGCTCTGCCAGGCTCTCCTGTGAATACCATGGTCATGTACTCCTGAAATTCCAGTTCACAGTTTCTCTAAGCTCTTTAGAATATGACATGCTTGCTTCACCACTTTACTTAGTTCTCAGGTCCCTCAAGTATTTTATGCTGGGTGTTTCAGAATACTTACGGAGGAGGTTTTTTACTTAGTTAAGATTAATTAGAAAGGCAGCAATCTCAAGATCAGCAGAAAGTGAGCTAGTAAAATAATCACAATCCCTGGTTAAAAACAAGCAAACAAAAATCCTTTCTAGCCACTGCTTCCTTAGTAGGACACTCTATTTACCTCCAAATTACTCCTCTAATTTTAAACAACTTGTCTAGCTAATTTCCTGTGTGATCACTGACTATCGGTAAGGTTCATTTTCTTATCTACATCATGTAGGTAATTAGAGGAAATTGAAAGTGGGTAGTGAAGCTTTTATGCAACTGGGATTGAAGCTGAATGGAGGGCAGCAAGGTCAGTGGAGTCCATTATATTTTTATGTGAGAGGCTGGTTTGTCTGCCCTATCCTTGTTTATTTAGTGTAGGCTGGACAGACTACTAACTGCAAATCTGTGTCTCTGATTTGCCCAGCTGTCCTTGAATAAAGACATCTTCCCCTGCAAATGTTAAATGACAGTGATCGACAACCTATGATGAACTCTGCTTGTAACCCCCTGCTACTGTTTTTAGATTGCAAAAGAAAAAAATAGAATAAGGAAACATCTTTTGTAATCACATCAAATGGTCCCTGCTGTTCTCTGAATACTTTTCATTTTGTTTCCCTTTTCATTACAAATCTCAATCTGTTCTACAAATGCCATAAACTCAGCCACTCCACATAAAGTTAAAAAAGAAAAAAATATTTAGCCTACTAAATTTTGCTTGCATATTCATGCTGATTTTTAGTTTACTGGGGATATACACTATTACATAATGGTTTACTCACACCCTTATGTCACATAACTCACTTGCTTGTTCTCCTAAGAATAATATGGCAAAATCTGTACAGCTAAATATGAGATATGCCTTTCAGCAATTAGCTGGCACTTGGGTTTAGTTAAAGCTCTGGTAGTTTTATTTGATATGTAAATCTTACATGTACTGTGACCCTTAACAACATTGACTGTAACTTTACCTTTTAGATTTGTTAAAATAAGAAACAAATGATTAAATACTTAAAATCTACTTTGACTTTTTCTTTACTGAAAGCATGTGAACAAATGAATGTTGGTTGAGTGTGTGTGTATTTTTAAACATACATATATATTTTTTCTTCCAGGTACAGTAACTATTAGTGTCTGCTTTACCTAAGCAGATTACTGGGAATAGAGGAAAGACACGACCAGAATGGATTTGTACCTGGTTGCACATAAACATTACGCAACAGTAAACTAGTACTTTTATGTCACTGCACACATCGCTGCCTACACTGAACTCACTAAATCACAGATAAGAGGGCACTTGTACAGTGGGGATGGCAGCCTGCTCGATGTGAGACTAAAGAAGCTTTATGCTATAACTTAATCTCTGTCATGGGAAAAGTAAAACTTATAAAGTTAATGAGTTCTAGACTTTAAGTAGCACTTGATTAATTTGTAACATTCTGAGGCGTTAAAACAAACCAAAATTAGTTTCTCACATTCCACTGCTGTCTTTTGGCCACTGAAGCTTTAGAAAAAACATTTCAGTAAATTTCCCTGATAGGAATCCTGTTTAATTTCTGAAGTATTAAATTAATTGGGTATTCTGTATTTTATAATAATATTTGAAAAACAATCTGGCGTTTACCACACTAGGTCCAGATATATCAACGGATAAAAAAAATGCCTTATATTTTTATCTTTATTTCTTCAGATATTATTGGATCATTATCTATTAAAAACTAAGTGTGATATAACTTTTTTCTATATATTATCAAATATATATAGTTAGCATTGTTTTTAACACTTATGATTTGGACTTTTATTAAAATTATCTATTCAAACTTTATAAATCATATATCATACCAAACAAAATAAACCTCTAAAATAAAAGACTATTATAAATTGGATTTACATGGTATTTATATTGACCAGAAAATTCACTGCAAGGTATACTAGGAATTAACATTCCAGGTTGAAAAAAGTAAAAAAAAAATAGCCCTATGTTAGAAAACATTTATTGGAAATGATAAAACTAAAATCCAGCTAATTAAAAATTTTCTAATATGCACATAGTTTACTCCACTACAATAAAGTATCAAAATAACTTTATCATGTAAATGGTAAAAATATAAGTACTAATGTCTATCATTGTAATTCTTCATAAAAATCTATGTATATTTCCTTTCAGGGCTCATGTGAATATATGTGTCTGACTTGTATCATTGTCTTATAAGTACTTATGGACATATGTTCGGCCCTCAACCAATTAGGACAAGCACATAAGCATTTGTCAAAAATAAATATGAAGAAGAAATGATACTTCATTTTTTCCAATATAAGAAGGACCACCTGGTTGACAGCTGGAATTTAAGGGATCTTAAAATAGTGGGTACCAGCAGGTCTGTTGTACTTAAAATAATTCAAGTGGTAAGAATTCCATCAGGAACATCTATTTCCCAGGATTTATAGCTAAGTCCTTAAAAAATTGCCCTTTGATGAAACTTGAAAAAATTCCTGTTTTAAAGGCTACAATAAAAATGCCTTACAGCTTAACAATGTTTAGATATTTTCCTTTTAAGAAATAAAAATCTCAAGGCTGTCAGGTTTGAATCCTAAAAAGGGATACTGAGATTAACAGCAACATATAATTGTGTAAGATTCAGTGTCACACTCTGTAATCTATCTTAAAAAGCCAAATAGCCAATAGCTGGGTGTGGTGGCACAAGCCTGTGGTCCCAGCTACTCCAAAGGCTGAGGTGGGATGATTGCTTGAGCCCAGGAGATGGAGGCTACAATGAGCCGAGATAGAGCCACTGCAATCCAGCCTGGGCGACAGAGTGAAACCACATCTCAAAAACAAACAAATGAAAAAGCCAAATAATCTTTCTAATTACCTTGCTTCTACCTTTAAAACCATATATATTTATTAGAAGTGACTTTCTTTGTAATTTGCATTTCTACTGGGTATGAGAATATATCAAACTTAAACAAAAAGAACCCCACAAGAATTAAACCCAAAATGGAAAGGATTAAGGCATAGCATTAAAACCTTTCTAATGTGTTTAATATTTGCTTAATATTCTTGTTCTAGGAGTTAAGAAATACATACACAAAAAGTTAAATAAATCTAAAAATGAAATATCAAAACAGGCCAATATATAAGAAATACCATAATACAGGCACAATTGCCAAATAAATGAAATGAACGCTGGTGCTACAAATTTAGAAAAGGTAATAATCACTGAGGCTAAATTAAGGAAATGTTAAGAGGATGCCATACCATGTGGATGGATGAATGTCAGATACATTGTCCAGGTGGGAATCATAAGCAAATTTATGAAGCGAAATATGTACACAACATGATTAAAGGTGGGAGTAAGAATGTTAATCAGGAGAAAGGGGAAGAAGTAATTTATAACAGTCTAATGGAAGGTGTAGGTAGAAAACTAAGACTGTGGAGGACCTTGACAGCCAGGCTAACGAAATAATTCTTTATTATGTATATAATTGTAGACTGTGGAGGGGAGAAATGATGCAAACGGTGGTTTAAAACAGATTAATTGGCAAGACTGTGTTGGGTACATTAAGTATGTCAGAGAAACTAAAGTTGGAAGATCACTCAGGAGACTGTCAGCACAATTGTTTAGGAATAGGGTGATGAGAACCCAAATAGGAGCTAAAGAGTGAACATTTTTTTTTAAGGGAGAAATTTGAGAAAAAAAATAATAAAGAAAGGACTGAATAAAAGGCAGCTGGTTTAATATGTGAAATTGGGGAGCAGAGAGGGAGGAGCCAAAGATTACCCCCAAAAATTCATCTTGGAAGTATTAAAGACTGTGAATGCAGCTCACATAGAACAATGGTAGGACTCCTCAGTCTTCTGGGCATGATGAACACAAGATTTTAGACATGTTGAGTATGTTCACAGAGGAACAGCGACATGGGAATATCTACTGAGCGAGCAGAAGCAGACTAAGTTTTGTTGACTTATTCTACTCTTTTTATATTCTCTATTTCATTTATCTCAACATTTATTTTTGTTACATGCTCCGTTGTGATTGCTCTTCTTTTTCCAGCTTTTTTAAGGTGGAGGGTTAGGTCACTGATTTGAGATAGTTCTTTAACGCAGGCATATACAGCTACGAATTTCCCTTTAAGTATGCTTTAGCTGGATCTCATAAGTACTGTTATGTTGTGCTTTTATTTGAAAGTATTTTCTAATTTCTGTTGTGATTTCTCCCCTCAATTTCTGTCTGTTTTTGCTGCATGGATTTGGGATGTTGATTTTAGTATGGATATGTTTATAATTTGTATATCTTTCTAATAAATGAACTCATTATAATAAAACGTTTGCCTTGTCTCTATTAAAATGATTTTTTTTTGTTTAAAGTCTATTTTGACTGACATTAGTATAGCCACTGACTGACATTAGTATGGTATAATTCAGCTTTTACAGTTGCTGTTTACCTGGTATATCTTTTCCCAACCCTTCACTTTTAACCTAATTTTATCTTCAAATATAAAATGTGCCCCTTCATAGAGAGGAAGATTGCCAGAGGATGGGAGGGGTAGGGTGGGTGGGGGGTAAGGATTGTTAATGGGCACAAAAAAATAGTTAGAAAGAATAAGACCTGCTATTTGACAACACAACAAGGTGACTATAGTCAATAACTTGATTGTATATTTTAAAATAAGTAAAAGAATATAATTGGATTATTTGTAACACATAAAATAAATGCTTGAGGGGATCACCCCCCCCAAAAAAATGTGTCTCTTGCTGATAGTGTATAGTTAGGTCTTGTTATTTTCTCCAGAATCAGAATTCAACTGAGTTCTGTCTGATTCCAAAACTGGGGCATTTTCAAGTATACTTTATTGTCTCTATAAACAAAAAAGGAGAAAATACTTGATAATCCCTCACTTCTTTGAAAAAAAAAAAAACAAGGACAGGAAGAAATGTTCATATTTTGGTTTATTATAGTAATATAAGAAGAAAACTACATAAGACTAATGATACTATAAGTGCTCAAAAGCAAAAGACTTGAATATCAAAGTATTAAGGGAGGATAATGAGAAAATTGATGATGTCCTGATATATATATTTCTGGTAAAAAAATTTTCTATATGATTGTGTGCTAAAAGTTAAACCCAAAGTGAAAAGCATTGTACCCTGCTTTGATTAGGAAGAAATGGGTGACCCTCAAATTTCTGAGTAATTCTTATGAATATTCTAATTCTCTATTTTGATTTGTAAATACATTGCTTAAAATTAAGGATTGATTCAATAAGTGATTTGTTCTTTTGAAACAATGTTCTTTATGATGATAGAGGGTCAAATGCTGCTACAGAATTAATCACATGGTTTGCAAGCCATATCTCAAAAAGACAACTTTGAAGAAGTCATGATGGAACATGTAAAATAAAGAAACTAGAGATTTGTGGGGTGTTTTTGTTCCTTATTTAGGCTAGGTACAGCATTTGAAGATATCATAGTTTTCTTCTGAGTGGGACAGATAGCTGACAACAAGAGATGGCTTATTTAGTATAGATTGGGAAACAATTATTTCAATGTATTAGCAATCATTACTACCTCGACTTAACACTGCTCTAGGCTTCTTAACTCCTCAGTTATTTATCCAGCCCCTCTTAGACTTGCTTGCTTTCATTCCATATTATGTCCTCTGGCTATTTTATCATGATGAGAAAGTCTTCCTGACACTTATGAATCTTGCATTTTTGTAGGAGCTTTTTCTATGAAGTGTCAATCTTTGAATTCTACTTAGGGCTTTTAAAAATGTTTATCTCTTCTTGAGATATACATTGAGAATTGAGTATTGAGCATACTCTTGGTAAAACAAGATTTGGACTCAGTATTAACAAAAATCTGAAACTTAATAAAGGTTTATATCATTATGTAAGGTGTGAATAGAACCACAGGAGAAACTGATTTTAAATAAACATACCAGAACATATGTATGTCATGTTAACCAAATACCTTGGGAGGTTATAAATGCATTTCAATAGGGCATTCACTACTCAACATACTGTGAAACTTCTTTTTTGGCATTGCAATCAGAATGACTTTAGGAACTACACATTATCATGTAGTCAAACAAGATTTTTTACAACTCCAAATTACATTGCCTGACTTAACAAACTTACTCACTTGACTTGGCTTCAAATAAATTCCTTCTGTTTTCTCAAAACAAAAGTAAAGGTAATGAACAAAACAAAACAAAAAACCCACAAAAGAAAAATAACCATTAGCGGACCACATTTTGCTACCCAAATAATCAAAAGAATGTACAATAGGGCCTGGAAGGAGTTAATATTTTTTTGTAATGGCAAAGCCTAATAAAAACAGCTTTTCAAATAAATAATCCTAAGGAGACAATAGTCATTGGACGTATAAATTCTGTTACAGGGCTGGGCATGGTGGCTCACGCCTGTAATCCTAGCACTTTGGGAGGCCAAGGCGGGAGGATCACCTGAGGTCAGGAGTTTAAGACCAACCTGGTCAACATGGTGAAACCCCATCTCTACTAAAAATACAAACACTATCTGGACGTGGTGGTGCCTGTAATCCCAAATACTTGGGAGGCTGAGGCAGGAGAATTGCTTGAACCTGGGAGGAGGAGGTTGCAGAGAGCTGAGATGGTGCCACTGTACTCCAACCAACCTGGGTCACAGAGCTAGACTCCATCTCAAAAAAAAAAAAAAAAATTCTGTTACATTTGTTAAAAACATCACTTAATTCTATTTTGAAACCCATATTCATTACTCAAAAAGATAAACATATTGATAGATCATATAATAAGATATGGGAAACAAGTGTCACGTGGAAATCTTAAATTGGGAGAATGAAAATAAAACCACTAAAAATAGAATGGTTATACATTAGAAAACAAAATGACACCTGTCAATCAAATAGCTAATGCTATGTCTTTCTGGTAATATATGTAAGTGGATATACTTTGGACATCTAACTTAGTGTCTGTTTAGGCAGAAAGTTTTAGTTTTAGTTAATGTTTGCAAAATTTAGATGTTTGAAGTTATTAACTCATAAAATTAATCACTTCCTAATATTTAGAGATATCAATATTTTGGCTCCAGGGTAAACTTTCGAGAAGTTATATTTAAAGACAACAAAGAAAAACAGAGATTTTCAGTACCAGATGTCAGGGAAGATCCCATTTGGATTTGAGCTACTTAAATTTGCAATCATGTATTTATACATCTAACAGAGCTTCTGTTTCCCCCAGAATCAGAAAATTAACTAGCTTTGTAGCATCTTCCTTGATCTGCCACCCGTGCCCTGAGGATTAGAGACTCCACCTGAGCTTGTTTTACAAGCATAACAGAAAAAATTAATCTCTGCTGGCAGCACTCCCACTGGGATACTGATGAATAATGATATCCCTCTTTTGCTGCCCTCTCAGTCCACTAGAAAAGCCACTCTAACCTGGCAACGTGGCAACTGCTGAAACCATTCCAGCTGTGGATTAGGAGGCAGTCAAGCATCCATCTGCTCTGTGTGAATCAAGAGAAAGCAAACATGCATTCTTATGGCTAAAGTCATAGTCAAACCCCAAACATCTTAGAGGAACACACACACACACACACACACACACACACACACACACACACACGCACACATAACAGGCAAGCACATACTGTAGGCTAAATTAACCCAGTTCCTCAATTTAGTTTGCATTTCCTTGGTGCTTTTAACATTGGAAAACAAAGTACATATATGTTGAGGGGGTATAAAGTACAGCTCTTAAGTTTGGTATGCATATATGGGGCTGATTCACCAGACATTAAACTTCTAGGGTGTGATATGAGGATACATCAGGTATATATGCATTTCCAAATTCTCAAATATAGCAACCAACCACTTGTTTTATAAAATAAGACTCAGTGGCTTAACTTTACTGATACATTGATGTGGTGGATATCTGTAGATTTTTGTCTTCTCCAAAAAGAAAAAAAAAAAAAACCATTGCTTGGTCTACAAATAGCAAAATTGTATTTAACAGGACTCTATCAGCTCCATATTAATAAGCTCTCTAGCACGTTAATATATCCATAATGTGCTGATGTTTATAATGATAGCCTCAGGACTTTTAAAGAGCCTTAGGGGTCTTCTGATTCATCAAAGAAATACATAAATGCACATACATATATATTTTAACACTGTTCTAAATGTATTGTGTTAAAATTCCTTGAATTCTGAAATCCATATATACGTAGAAACTTCATTAACAAAAATATTTTAAATAACTATCACATCATATTCCCAGTCCATGATTTATAAAAAAAAACAAAACCCTGCTTTTAAGTTTCAGTCTGGTATCACCCACGTCACTTTGGTGCGGGTCTCAAATGACAATTTATTTATCCTTTGTTTTTTCCCTGATTTTAGCTGCATTCACAGGTTATTTTGAGGTCTTAATTGATTCTTTCTCTCTCATTCCTTCCTTCTTCACTGGTTAAAAAAGTAAAAGTAGTTCCAGGTCACAACACTTTCTATGCTTTTAGTTCAGCAAAGTAATACTGTCAGCTCAGTCACTGATTCTGAGCTGTTCATTTGTTGATCTATCAGAAAAAAGATGACACCTGTTTGGCATTCATCTTACAAATTTATTATACTGTTTAATAAATAACAGAAAATACTTAAAAAGATGATATAAAAGACCTAAATCTAAAAGTTGAAGCAAGTGTACATAGAAGAATAATTCTCTCTTACCAACAGAAATACTTGAAAACTGAGATTACAGTGCTTCTGGCAAATTGCATTATTTTTCTGAGTTACACACAAAACAACGAATAGAACATAAGAAAGCATAACATTTTATGTATCCAAGGAGGATGATATTTGTGAAGTCCTTCTTACACCTCAATTTCTTTTTAAAGCACAATGAGCTCTAACTTTCTGAAATAATCAAATTTCTGAGATAAGCTTATATTCCATTGGACTGTCAGTTGGAAAACATTGTGAAATAAGTGGAATCCTTTTTCAGGAGAATATAATGTTAAAATAAAATACAGATGTGTGAATAATACTACTGTAATAAAGACCATTTCCATGTATTTTATTTGGTAGTAACAACAAAAGTTTTCAGAAAACATAGTATGAGAATGAAGCATATCCATTTCTTTGGGTTTAGAAATCAAAAGGTATCACTGGAAATTCCTCTAGGCTTCTATCATAAATATTTTAAACCAGCATAAAAATATTCATTTTAGCCTTCTCATAGTGGGAAGACTAGAGTCTGCTAAGAATTATTAATCAGTAGGTAGATTTTTTTCTTGAAAGAGCTTTTCAAAATGATTCAGTTACTTAGTAAGTGATCTATTGTTTGACAAACATAAATATCTATTAGAGTATGCATATAGGTCTGTATAAAAACAAACACTTTTTCCCACTGATTCCCTTTCAAGAACGTAAGTTTATGTTTTGGTGGTTACAAATTATTTATTCTGAAAGAGAGATACTGGTCTTTACGGAAAAGTTTTCTAGTTTTTTTTTCTATTATAAATAATGCTGTGAAGACCATTTGTATACATTTGTGTACATACATTTTGACAGCACACTTAATTCCTTAGGATCAATTCCTAAAAATGCAATTGAAACGTCAAGTTTCAAATCTTTTAGAGATGTAAAATAAACATGTTGATAGATATCAAATTTCCAGGTCAATGAAGACTGTTTAGCAGTGTTAGGGAATGCCCAACTTACAGTGTTCTCATCATCAGTATGTATTATCCTTTTTGAATCCCTGACAATTTCATAGGCTAAAAAGGTTGCCATTTTTTTTTCAATTTCTATTTCCTTTATCAGTGAGAAGGCTGAGTATTTTCTTTATATTTGTTAAAGATGAATTTCTTCTTTTGTAAGTTGTTACCAAATGCCTTCTTTTCATTTTACCACTGGAGTGTTAGTGGCTATTTTTTTAAATATTATGATTAAAATTTTTTAATATTACCTTTTTACCTTTCAGAATTATGACATATATTAATGCTTTTTAAATTACATTTAAAGACATGCATATATTCTATATTTTTATGTATGCACATTTACCCATTTCCTTTTGCGATTTCTTCAACTCTTTTTTGTGCTTCTTCCCATCTTCCCGTTTTAGAATTTTAAAAGGGGGAAGAATATACAATTTTAACATTATGCTTGGCTTTAATTCTTAATCTAGCTGAAGTTTATTTTGGCGTATACTATAGAATTAGAATCTAACTTGAATATTTTTCCAAAAAGTTATACGATTCACCTCCTACTTGTTGAATTAAACCATCCCTTAACCAATGATTTATGATGTTTCCTTTTTATTTGGTTAGTGTTTCACATGGATGATAAGTGAGGTGGGTCTTGACCAAAGTGTACAAACTGTCCTGGCTGTGGTGGGGAAGGAGGCATTCCTCGCACGTGGATTAGCATGAGCTTCATGAGGGATTAAAAGGGGAAGAGCAGTTGAAGATGGGGGCTATTCTCACTCTGCCCAATGCCGAAGCCAGACTCAGAACAATCCCATATGTAAGGCTAAGGAATGTAAATTCATCTAAGGTTTTTTTATTAGAACAGAATAATGATACTTGTTATATGTAGAAATGATTTATGTAAGTTATAATACACTGATAATCTAAATTTGCTATCAATATTAAAATATTAAAATTGATATCGATATTAAAATATTATTACTAATGAAAGCTAGCAACAGCAGATATCATATGGTAGGTAATGTACTAAGGCTTTATACATATTATTTTATTTAATCCTCCCCTTTGTTTTAGAGGAGCATGGATCTTAGGTTAAGTGACTAGTCCAAGGTCATACAGTTAGAAAATGGTGCAGTTATGCCTGTTTGACGCCAAAGCCCATCTTCTTTTTTTAATATTAAAAAAAATCCTTGTTTTTTAAGGTGTTTCACTATAATGTTTTTATTTTTTCAGTTTTTACTTATGTATAATAGTTGTACATATTCATGGGGTACATGTGTTTTTTTTTTTAATACGTGCATACAATGTAGAATGATCAAGTCAGGGTAACTGGGATATCTAAACATTCTAGGTCTTCTCTTCTAACTATTTGAAATATACGATAAATTCTTGTTAATAATAGTCACTCTACTGAGCTACTGAACACTAGAACTTACTCATTCTATCTAACTGTGTTTGTACGCATTAACCCACCTCTCTTCATCCCCCATACTCCCAGGCTCTGGTAACTATTATTCTACTCCCTACCTCCATGAGATCAATTTTATTTTAGCTCTCACACATGACTGCAAACATGTAATATGTGTCTTTCTATGCTCAGCTTATTTCACTTAACATAATGCCCTCCAGTTCCATCCATTATAAAAGCCCATGTTCTTAATAACCAGAATTGCAGCATATTCCAGATATGCTGGTACCAGTTACACTTTCAAGACTGTTACTACCAAGCTACAATCACTTCTTAGACATAGGCCGGTTCCCTTCCTGAAAGCAGGAATCATATCTTAATTATCATGGTTCCTCTTGTACCTAACATAGTAGGTGCTATATAAAATATCCTTGTTGGACTGTTGAAAGGCTATGTTTAAAAATTATATGTAGAATAGTAATAGGTGTAGAACAAATAATCTTCCAAATAGGAGAAAATGAAGGAAAAACTAGAGGAACTAACTAGGAAAGGTGGTCAAGAATAAGTTGTAGAAGAAGGAAGAGATTACAAAAGTGCAGTACCTGTATAAAAGAATAAATGGACATTTAGTCCCTCATTAAAAACTAAAATGAAGTAATGCTTTGTGTAACAAAAAGGCTTATTCTTGAAAAACTATATTTTATAAATACTTAGACTTTAAATATGGTTCCTTGCTGCCCAGTATCATATTAAATAATGTAATATTTGCCTAATTATTCAGGAAGATAAATACTAAACATCACAGTCCAACCAAATTAGAGTTGGCATTACCAAAGAACTGGATTAAATTGACCAGAGCTTTAACTGCAATTGAATCAACTGCATTTTTCCAGATGAATATATGCCTAATAAAATGGCCAATTTGATTTGCCTGATTTTTCTCTCAGCCAGGTTTCCAATGGGTTCCCGACTGTTTTGCAGATTACTGCTTAGCCCCAAAAGAAAGAACATTTTTCTTACGAACACAGCTTCCTCATAGCTTTCAAGCCCAAGTTCCTAATTCAAAGAAGTGCTAATCCATTTGCAAAGCGTCTTAGTGAAGGAGTAATGACCCAGCCATAATCAGTATTACTAATAATAATTACTTTATGATTTCTTCTAATTACTAAGTGGCTTTTTAAAAATAAATAAATAAATAAATAAATAGATGAGCACTCTTAGGAGCACAGACACTGGTCTGAAAGCCAGGATAATGTCACATTAAAGAGCCTTACTGCTTTTTTATTTGGAGGTAGGATGATGTGGCAGTGAAGGTTCATTTTTTTACAGACCGTCACTCCCGTGTCATAGTCTAAACCCCAGGGCCATGGCTTTCAGTAAAATATTAACCTGGGGAGAGAGGACGAAGGGAACAAGGGAGTAGGGCAGAGCAACCAAAAAGAGAGAACTCAGAAAATGCCACTGAAGGGGTAACTATGAGAGAGGATGGCTATGCTAATTTCTTTCACTATAGCAACCACTTTATATCTCATAACATCATGTTGCAGACCTTAAATATACACATTGACATTTATTTTTTTAAATGCCTCTTAAGAGCAAAGATTACTTGGCAGCATAATAGTCACAAGACTGTGTACTTTTTTTTATTCCTCCAAGCCATTAATAATGAAATAAAATGTTTCTTAGTGAGTCCAATAGGGCTGCTCTTCTGATGGTCAAGGAGAGACTAAGTGTTCTGAATCCCTAAAAATGTAAAGGTGTCCAGAGTAAAGCAGCTCTGAATGCAAAAGAAAAGCCAAACGTAAATAATAAACTTAAACCAAAACACAGCACAACACAAAACAAAAACCTGTCTAGAGTAAGGTCAGATATGTTCCAACATGTGTCCCTTAAATATGTATAATGCTTTATAAACATATACATACTAATTATCTAATTACCTTACTGGATACACACAGTAAACCTGTGAAGATGAATAGGGTAGGCATAATCACACATTTTTTAATGAATAAAGAAATTGAAGCTTAGAGGGATTAAATAGCTTGCCAGTTACACAAAGAGGTTAAAATGGTCATGCTGAGATTCGAACCCATGTTTCTGAAATGCAAATACCCTTAATAAGTCCACCATACTATGGCCACCTCAATGTATTAACGGCTTTTACCTACATTCACAGGTCATTCCCCACCTCCTCAGTTTCAGCTGATGATCTTGCTTCTTAGTTTATGAAAAAATTAAAGTCAACAGAAGGGTATTACTTCAGTATCCCACTATCCAACAGCAACCTCCTTATATCTGTACTTCAACACTGTATCTTCTATTACAATGGATAAATTGTCTCTACTTGTACCTAAGGCCAATTATTCCATTTATGCATTGATTGCCATTTGTTTTTTGTTTTTTTAAGGACATTGCTTCTTCCTGTATTATCTCCCCACCCCATCCCTGGGATCATTTCCATGAGCATATAAACATGCTGCAACAGCTTTAGAAAAAGAAAGAAAATTGATTCCATGCCATCCCTGCCTCCCTAGCTCCATGTAAGGAAGGATACTCCTAGCTGTATTTTCTGTCTCTACTTTCTTAAAATTCATTCTCTCTTGAATCCTCTCAAATAAGTCTTTTGTCTTCAACCCTCCACTGAAATTACTCATTGAAGATGCCTAGGATCTCCATCTTATTAATTGAAAGAATATTCTCAGCTCCCATCTAACTCTGTATCTCAACAGTCTTTAACTCAGTTAATCACTATCCCCTTCTTGTTTTTTTAGTGACTAGACAATAGGAAAATTTTTATTTAAAAATTAAAATAGCTTTTAAATTATTTTAAATATATAATTTACTTATTGAAAACATCAGACAATAAACACATAATCAAGAAAAAAATTCTTTAAAATTCCACCACTCAGAGATGATCTGTGTTAATATATTGGTGTACATTCATCTAAATCTTTTACTATGCATATCTATGCATAGTAATATATATGGCTCAAGCTACATACACTGTTTGTACCTTAATTTTTTTTCCTTTCACTAAACAGTATGTTGTGGATGGCATTCCATGACTAGAGGCATAGGTGTACATCATTGGATTAATGGTTGCACAGTATTTCATTGCATAGATGTACCTTAATTTTAATTATTTTCAACTTTTAGATTCAGTGGGTACATACGCACGTTTGTTACCTGGTATACTGTGTGATGCTGAGGTTTGGGTATGAATGATTCTATCACCCAAGTACTGAACATAGTACCTAACAATTAGTTTTTCAACCCTTGTCCCTCATCCCCTCTAGCAGTCTCCAGTGTCTACAGTCATCTTTGTGTCCATGAGTACCCACTGTTTAGCTCCCACTTATAGGTGAGAACCTGCAGAATTTGGTTTTCTGTTCTTGTGTTAATTTGCTTAGGATAATACTGCATCCATGTTGTTGCAAAGGACATGATTTCTTTTTTTTTGTGGCTGTGTAGTATTCCATGGTGTATATGTACCACATTTTTTTATCCAATCCACTGTTCATGGGCACTTAGGTTGATTCAATGTCTTTGCTACTGTGAGTAATGCTGAGATAAACATGTGAGTGCATGTGTCTTTTTGGTAGAAGGATTTGTTTTCTTTTGGATCCCCAGTAATGGGATTGCTGCGTTGTATAGTAGTTGTTTCTAGTTCTTTAAGAAATCTCCAAACTGCTTTCCACAGTGGCTGAACTAATTTACATTCCCACCAACAGTTTGTAAGCATTCCCTTTTCCCCACATCCTTGACAACATCTGTTTTTTTTTGACTTTTAATAATAGCCATTCTGGGCTGGGCGTCTTGGCTCACATCTGTAAACCTAGCACTTTGGGAGGCTGAGGTGGGAGGATCACCTGAGGTAAGGAATTTGAGATCAGCCTGGCCAACATGGTGAAACCCCATCTCAACTAAAACTATAAAAATTAGCCAGGCATGGTGGTGGGCGCCTATAATCCCAGCTACTAGGGAGGCTGAGGCAGGAGAATCACTTGGAACCTGGAGGCAGAGACTGCAGTGAGCAGAGATCACGCCACTGCACTCCAGCCTCGGCGACAAAGTGAGACTCTTGTCTGAAAAAAAAAAAAAAGCCATTCTGACTGGTATGAGATAGTATCTCATTGTGGTTTTGACTTGCATTTCTCTGATGATTAGCGATGTGGAGCATTTTTTCATGTTTGCTGGTTGCTTGTATGTCTTCTTTTGAGAAGTGTCTGTTCATGTCTTTTACCCATTTTTAAATAGAGTTATTTCGTTTTTTTTGCTTCTTCAATTGCTTAAGATCCTTATAGATTCTGGATTCTAGACCTTTCTTGGACACATGGTTTGTGAATATTTTCTGTAGGTTGTCTGTTTGGTCTTTTAATAGTTTCTTTTGCTGTGCAGAAGCTCTTTGGTTTAATTAAGTCTCACTTGTCAATTTGTTTTTGCTGCAATTGCTTTTGAGGACTTAGTCATAAATTATTATTATTATTATTATTATTATTATTATTATTATTTTTTGAGACAGAGTCTCCCTCTGTCGCCCAGGCTGGACTGCAGTGGCGCAATCTCAGCTCACTGCAAGCTCCTCTTCCCAGGTTCATGCCATTCTCCTGCCTCAGCCTCCCGAGTAACTGGGACTACGGGCACCCGCCACCATGCCCAGCTAATTTTTTTTGTGTTTTTAGTAGAGACAGGGTTTCACCACATTAGCCAGGATGGTCTTGATCTCCTGATCTCGTGATCTGATTGCCTCGGCCTAGTCATAAATTATTTCTTAAGGCTGATGTCCAGAATGGGGTTCCCCAGGTTTTCTTCTAGGATTCTTACAGTTTGAAGTCTTAAATTTAAATCTTTAATACACCTTGAGCTAATTTTTGTATATGGTGAAAGGTAGGAGTCCAGTGTCATTCTTCTGCATATGGGCTAGCGAGTTTATTGAATAGGGAGTCCCTTCTGCATTGCTTATTTTTGTTGACTTTCTTGAAGATTGGGTGACTGTAGGTGTGTGGCTTTATTTCTGGTCTCTCTATTCTGTTCCACAGGTTTATGTGTCTGTTTTTGTAGGAATACCATGCTGTTTTGGTTACTGTAACCTTTTTTTATTTATTATTGTTATTTTTTTGAGATGGAGTCTTGCTCTGTCGCCCAGGCTGGAGTGCAGTGGCGCAATCTTGGCTCCACTGCAAGCTCTGCCTCCTGGGTTCACACCATTCTCCTGCCTCAGCCTCCCGAGTAGCTGGGACTACAGGACCCCACCAACATGCCAGGCTAATTTTTTGTATTTTTTTAGTAGAGACGGGGTTTCACCGTGTTAGCCAGGATGGTCTCGATCTCCTGACCTCGTGATCCGCCCTCCTCAGCCTCCCAAAATGCTGGGATTACAGGCGTGGCGCGGTCGGTTACTGTAACCTTTTAATATAGTTTGAAGTCAGGTAATGTGATGACTCTGGCTTTGTTCTTTTTGCTTAGAATTGCATGGCTATTTGCCCTCTTTTTTGGTTCTACATGAATTTTAAAATAGGTTTTCCCAATTCTGTGAAAAATGACATTGGTAGTTTGACAGGAATAGCATTAAATCTGTAGATTGCTTTGGGTCATATGGCTATTTTAATGATATTGATTCTTGCAATCTATGAGTATGGAATGTTTTTCCATTTGTTTGTGTTATCTATGTTATCTTTTAACAGTATTTTGAAGTTCTCCTCATAGAGTTCTTTCACCCCCTTGGTTAGATGTATTCCCAGGTATTTAATTTTGTTGTGGCTATTGTAAATAGGATTTCATTCTTTATTTGGCTCTCAGATTGAACATTATTGGTGTAGAGAAATGTTACTGATTTTTGTACACTGAGTTTGTATCCTGGAACCTTGCTAAAATCATTTGTTGGTTTTAATATTCTTCTGGTGAAGTCTTTAGGGTTTTCTAAGTATATAATCATATCACCACCAAAGAGAGATAGTTTGACTTCTTCTTTTCCTATTTGGATGTCTTTTATTTCTTTCTCTTGCCTGACTGCTCTGGCTACCACTTCCAGTACTGTGTTAAACAGGAATGGTGAGAATGGGCATCCTTGCCTCATTCCAGTTCTCAAGGGGAATGATTCCAGTTTCTGTTCAGCATGATGTTGGCTGTGGGTTTGTCATATTATTTTGAGCTATGTTCCTTTGATACCTAGCTTCTTGAGACCATCCCCTTCTTGAGATACTTTTTTCCACCTGGTTTCCAGGACAATGCACTCTCCTGGATGTTTTCCTTTTTGCTTATTGTTCCTCACTCCTAGTTTTCTTTGTTGTCACACCTTCCCCTCCTTCTCTCCCCAATGTCTACATGCTAGCATTCTCAGAGCTCAACCTTTAGACCTCTGCTCAATACTGACTGCCTAGATGATCTCAACCAATTCAATGACTTTGAAACTTGGAAAAGAATCCATATGCCTGTCACAGTCCCCCCATTCCCCAAGACAAACATACACCCTGCTCTTTATTCATTGCTTTTCACCTCAATTAATGGTATTCTCTCTCACCAAATTGTTCAGGCCAAAACCTAGGCATCATCTTCCATTCTTTACTTATAATCAATCAATCATTAATTCCTATTGGCTCAACCTTTAAAACATCCTGAGTCTGACTACTACTCACCATTTCAACCTCTAACCACTCTATCCAAGCCACCATCTTCTCTCATGTGGACTTTCTGCAGCAGCCAGTTCTCTATAAAAAAGCTAGAATGGTCTTTTTCACTATCAGTAACATCACATCACTCATCGGATCAAAATCCCACCAATGGCTCCTCTGAACACTTAGGATAAAATCAACACTCCTTACTATGGCCCTAGATGATGTCACCTCTGCCTCCTAGGCCCTCTCAGTGTACACTCCACTTCAAGCATACTGGCTTTTCTGCTATTCTTTGAAATTTCCAAGCAGCTCCTGCTTCCTTTGCATTTGCTTTTCCCTCTGCCCAGGATTTCTTCCCCAAGGCTTTCTCATGACTTGCTCCTGCATATTATTTAGTTCTTTGTTCAAATATCATCTTCTCAGAATGGCATTCCTTTACCATCATAAACTATCCTATTAATAACAGCGTCCTCTAATTATCTTCTGATTATTACCGTGTTTTCCCCATATCTCACTTATATTCACCTGAAATTACATGTGTGTTTATTCTTGGCCAACTCCACTATAACTATAAGGTCCATGAGTGCTGGAACCACTAGCCCGGTTTTCTGCTGTATCCTCCATGGCTGGAATATAATAAGTGCTCAATAAATATTATTATTAAATAATAGCTAACATTTACTGATTATTGCAAATAAGCAAAAAATTGTTCTATGCATTTCACGTATATAAACTAATGCAATCATTCCAATAACCTCATGAGGAAACTGAGGCTCAGAGGGTAAGTACCATTGTCCAAGGTCTAGAAAGTGGCAGAGATAGTATTCGAAACTGTTCAGGTTTGATTTCAGAACCCAGGCTCATAATAACTAAGCTTACATGATCAGAATTATAACCTTAGTGAATTGACTAGATGATAGATAAGCTAATATGCAAAATTTTCTTCACAGCAGGTTTGTTTTGTAACTTCGTGGAATATGGCAGTCAGTGAAAACTAGAGTTATCACCCACAGGCAGAAACTCTTTTATAATGTAACATTTAATGTGAAAAGCTAATGTGATGTGGCAATATACACAAATGGTGGTGACACCACAAAAGATATAGCTCTGCAATCTTTCTGCACATGGACTATTGACTCTTATAGTAAGACTTGTGAGAAAATGATCAGGAGATATAAATCTCTATATAGACGATGCTATAGATTGAATATTTGTATCCCCCCCCATTAATATGTTAAACCTGAACTCCCAGTGTGATGGTGTTTGGAAGTGGGGGCTTTGGGGAGGGGGTGATTAGGTCATGAAAGCAGAACTCTCATGAATGGGATTAGTGCCCTTATAAAGGAGACTCCAGAGAAATTTCTCACCACTTCTGCCATGTGAGGGCACAACTAGAAGATGGCCATGTTTGCACCAGGAGAAAGGCCCTCACCAAACACTGAATCTGCTGATTCCTTGATTTGGGACTTCATAGCCTCTAGAACTGTGAGAAATAAATATCTGTTATTAAAGCTACCCATTCTATGGTATTTTTGTTTGTAGCAGCCTGAATGCACCAAGACAGGCTAAATAATAGCTAAGGTATGAGGACTACTGGTGGTCTGATAACAACCAATGAAAAGGGAATAGGGCATAGGGAAATACTGCCAGAAATAACAAACAAACTAAGAAAGGGTAACTGTTCTGTTTTCAATTTTAAAAACTTATAAAAGTAGTATTATATATAAAACAAGATTCAATAAAGCAAGGAGATAAACATAATGACTTGTTTTTAAACACATTAGGATATACTTCATAATAAATAATTTACAAAAATTTTTGTCCTAATCTGTGTTAACATAGTTGTTGTTGTTGTTGTTTAAAGTACATAGTGAATGAACAAAAAAATGCTGAAATAATTATTTTGTTAGTAATTAAGCTCTGTATTTAATACTTATAATTCTAGTTACAAGGTCATACATAATTTTAAAAGTAACTCTGGTTCTTTATTTTTTAAAAGTATATATCTTACATGTCAATGCTTTAAAATTTTTTTACAGCTGGAATGAAACATTGTTACATAAATAAAAGGTCTGGCATTTTAGCTAACCTAAAAGGCTGTCTGTCCCTCAGCATGAAGGGGTATTTTCCATGATTATTTTTTCCTTTTAAAATTCTGTTTCCAAAGTAACATAATATTGTAGGGCTCTGCTTATAGTGGGTTGGATTGAATGTTGGCATGCTTAATTTTTCTTTTTCTCTGTTACATAAAAATGATACTGAAACATATTCAGATGGCCTTAAATATTGGAAATGATCACTCCTATTTACCTACTGGGCTGCTTTCTGAGGATAAAAAGTAGGATAATATGATTTTTAGTTAAAACAGCATTTTGGTATTATTTGTACTGAGGAGACATCTGGGACATGAATCATGAATCTTTTGGAAACAGTTGTAATCACCATTATTCATGGAGGAAGGAGGTCATAGTGATTTCTGAATTGCCCCACCTGCTGGACCAAAGAGACCCTAACAATTTTAGAGTACTTAAACTTTATTGGGATGAAATTAGAAACATTTAAGCAGAAGCCAATTTCTAGCATATGAAAATTAGATTTTAATATTCTTAATTCAACATTAAAGTTTCCATATTTTCCACTTATTTAAAAAATCTAAACAATGTTCTACTTACTCAACGTAGAGTGAGAGGTGGTTAAAATTTGGGGAAGAAATTTTATTTCCAGTAAGATAATATGCTTCAGTGTTATTTTTATTTCTCCAACATGATTGCTTGTGTAATGACAATTCTACGTAGTTATTATATCACTAAGCAGAGACTTACTACCGATAATTAAAAAATGTTCAAAACCAGATTAATAATAATTTATTTTGCCAAATAATTCCTAATAAGATTCTCTGGAAAGTAAAATACCATGGAAGTTTTATAAATATGACTTAACTTATATAAACCCAATAAAGATTGCGTTTGCGATTTAAAAATGTTTAGTTGGAGTACCCTTTGTAAATGTTCTTATATGCCCCGGGGAGCTTGGTGTTCCAATCTTGCCCATAGGATAGGCTGGTAACTCTTTGGGGGAGGACAATGTCAGCAACTCCTTTTGCCTTGAATGCTGAAGGTAGAACTAAACACTTGCCATGCTTACATAAAGCTATATTGAGCAGCAATGGCACACAGAACTAGATACAAGCTTATCCCTTTGTTTTCATTAAGCTTTTAGGGCTCTAGTATAAATCTCCTTAAAAAATACGGATCTATCTTCTGTTTCTTTGGTATTCCCCACGTGCACTGACTATTGGATAGAATACATAGCAAACTTTAATAAATGACAAGCTAAAAGTATCTTTTACAGATAGCTTTGGCACAGAAGTTTATGGGTGCAACCTTTTTATGTACCTTACTTTGTAAATTTAGATAAAAGAGCAAAATAAGATGTAAAAAGGAAAAAAGAAAAGTACAAAACAGAAATGGGAAAAGAGACAGGACATTCAAAAGGTTCCCGGGAGATATAAATTCTAACACTGTCTTTTCCCTGTTGGGAGCTGAGTTTTTATATTATTTTTCCATAGTAGTTGTGTCATCTTGGGCAAGGTTGGGCCATTTTCTATTTTAATGAGACTGTTAAACTAGTATAAAATAAAATAAATATATTTTGCTATCTAAACACATTTCTTAAATAACTAAAACTCATTCCTAAATCTAAACTCATTTCCTATTTAATCACCAACCTTTGGAATCCTGGTAATTGACAGTCCTTAATCTGTGGGACAGTTTAAGAAATGAAAAGTAATTAAGAAAAAAAAAAAGAATAAAAATTTAAAACAGGACAAATTCCAGATAGTATTACAAATACATTTTATGCTTGTCGGAACATAACAGCTTAAAAACCTATAATCTACTAAATCACAATAGATATATTTGAGATTGAGGACTTCTATCGGGAAAATATTTCATTTCTCTATGTTAAAGAAAGCTTATAAGTGCAGAAAGTTAGAAGTTAAGAAATAATGGACAACATGGAAGGTCTCAAGGGAAAGAGACCCAGAGAAGTAGAAAGATACCTTTTTTCAAGACAGTTGCCATCTGTGCCTCTCCAAAAGATGCCAGGCAGCTCCCCAGCCTGAGGGTTAAGGAAGCTCTTCTCGCAAACCCTGGAAGATATCCCATTAGGTTTCCCCACTAAGAAGATAAAGAGTAGCAGATGGGATCCTGTGATTGTCAGGAGGTTATTTGGAAATGGAAGGCCATGAGGTTGGAGGTGTTCACTATTATTCAGTTAACCTTCCTTTCTTTCATTTTTCCTTTAACAAACTCTTTAATTTTTTTTTACGTGCTGGGTCCCCCACCAATGCTATTCATAACTGGCTTGTCCTTTTTATTTAGTTTTAAATTTCTCCCTTATAAAAACAAAAACATTCTTGCTTATTTTTTCAACCTTATATGTTTGAGAAAGATATTTTTGCAATTTTTCCTACAAAACAATTTATAGTTGTGCCTCAAACACGATAAAATTCAAGCATTAAAAATGTTGTATTACTGAAAATGTTCTATATACAGGCAGAGCAAAGAATCAGCATGCTTTTAAAGAGAACAGTACTGAGAACGGCTAAACCTAGACATTTATTGACACATAAAAATTCTATTGTTCTGGTACTTTTCTAAATTTGGAATAGTTCTATTTACATTTAGACATGAAACTCATTCTTTTAGTCAATATCCAAGCTTGTGTGAAAATAAGAATTTCACTACTTTTAATATTCGATATATAAATAAAATCTCATTTCATGTTGTCATAAGAACCATAACAACCGAGTGTACGTTATAAAAATTAACTGAAAATTATTGAGACATAAGACATTTGGGGCATATTTTGCTTTCTTTCAAAATTGTCAATATTATAGCAGCATATTCTAAAAAATCTGTTCAAAAAAAATTTTCCCTAACTTTGAAGCTTTTCATTTCTATTCCAGTTTTAAAATAGACTACCTTCTAAAAGTCCACTGAACATATCAGATCATGATCCTGGTTTGCCACGATGACAGGCACTTTCTACTCTGGACTTCGGATTTCAGTGCCAACATCATTAAGAGATTCTTCAAATTACTTTCAAAATGTCCTTTTCCCTCAGGATTTTTACTTATATCTAATTAGACTACTTACTCCATGCCACGTAATCCCTGTTGCCAAAACTGCTAAATGCTTCAATAACTAGGAGGAGGGCATCAATGGAGCAAGACAGATGTAATGTCACCGGTTAACAGTAGAGGTGTGAAGCAGCTGCCTTAATTATGAAGCTTACTAATTCATGGTGTTAGAAAAAACTTGGCAAGGGTTCTTATGAAACACCTAACATTTTCCAAAATAGCATCAGATTGTTTAAAACTTAAAATAATGTCTTCAATAAAAAAATGCTGAAATAATTATTTTGTTAGTACTTAAGCTCTGTATTTAATACTTATAATTCTAGTTACAAGGTCATACATAATTTTAAAAGTAACTCTGGTTCTTTATTTTTTAAAAGTATATTTCTTACATGTCAATGCTTTAAAATTTTTTTACAGCTGGAATGAAATAATAGGATAAAGATAGAATATGTCGAAAAGGAAATAGGGTATAAAAAAAAGTTCTAAGGAGCTACCTTCTATAGAACCTGTAACAACTTAATGAGATTAAAATTCAATTTCGTTATTTATATATTAACACTTAACTTGAAGGGTTATTTGATGCTTATAAATAATGTATATAAACTGCCTAGCATGTAGTGGGTTCTCAGTAAAAAGTAATTATTATTTTTTAATCGCTGTATGGAAAAGATGGGATTAAAATAAATGGGTTTCTATTGTAGAAGGAGATTAGTGAAGAGAAAGTTTCGATAGAATCTTTGCTTTCCACCCAGACTAGAGTATTTTACTATCATTTAAGGATGACAATATCTAAAAACATAAGCCAGAAACAGCTCAGCTTCAAGGAAAGAAGAATAAATAAAAATAGCAGTCTCAAAAGAGATGTCACAGGAGAAAAAAAAAATGAGTGGAAGTGTATTTTCCTTCTCACTGTTGACTGGAGTAGTTTCATATAATGGAATAATAATCAACAGGAATTAGTATCTGCAAGTATTAACAGACTGCCACATTAAAAAAAAAAAAGCCCACAATACTCTGAAGAATAAAAATATTCCTAAAGTATCCAGAGCTCCAACAGAAAAAAATTCATGCAAATGCCAGGCAGGTCCAATCCTGATCCCTACGTTGTAAAAAAAATCACCTATCACACCAAATATGACAAGCACAATTCCATTTTCTATTTTAGTTCTTTAGTAACTTTTAATAAATTTATCCCATCTCTTTTTGAATCTATAAATTTTTGGCCTATATTATATCTGTCAACTGAAGTAATAAATCAGATGGAACCTCCTACTAACTGTGAAAAAGTTACTGTTTTCAAGATCCAAAGAGGGCCTCTATTCATGATTTCAATTTTGGTCCCATTGATTCAAAGCCTTTGCCTCCCTAGACCAAAGTACTCTAATCACATGTCTTCTAACATTCGAGTAACTCACTTTGGACACATTCAGACTTTCTCTCTGATGTCCTTTTGATCTGAGGCCACCGGAAATGTATATAGCAAGTCTTCTCCATATGGACGATTAACATAAAGAACAGAATACTATTTCCTGTTTTGTTTTTAGATATTCTTTTTGATAATGGGCAACACCTGCTGTCATCCTTAGAGCATCACACTGAGCTGATGACTTCCGTCAGCAGCAACACCAAAGTGCAAGTGTCTTTCATGGTTTACTACCATTGCCCATAATTTATCTGTGTGTGAACACACACACACCCACCCACCCACACACACACACACACTCTCTCACACATACACATAGGAAGTTTGTCACTAATGTTCATTCTTCTGTATCTTGCCCTTAGAAAGTGCCTTACACATTGTAGACACACAATAAATATATTTTTTGATGAATCAGTATATAGTCTGTGGGTAGAATAGTGAGCAACGAAATTGAGTATGAAAAAATGGAGAGTAATACTTAAAGATAAGCTATCCAAGACAGGCACACTGCAATATATTCTTAAAATATTTCTTTAGACAATTTCCTTTAGCTTAGCTCTATACTATTTGGAAGAATTCAGTTTCATCTGCAAACTCAGAAACTGTCTGTTGTCTCCATTCTTTGGTCAAAGGGTGATATTGTCAATATAATATCATTCTGAAAACTACCAGGCTGACCCCAATCATTCCACATATAAAGAAAAAGAACATAAAAGGCGAGAATTCAGAGGATAAGGTATAAACAGGCATAACATATAGAATTTTTACCAATTCTGACAATCTTCTGCTAATCAATTAAGTAATTAATTAAACTTTAATTTTAGGTTCAGGGGTACATGACCAAGTCTGTTACACAGGTAAATTGTGTGTTGTGGTGGTTTGGGGTACAGATTATTTTGTCACCCAGGTAGTAATCATAGTACTCAATAGGTAGTTTTTTGATCCTCTCCCTCCTCCCAGCCTACACATTCAAGTAGGCCCTTGTGTCTGTTGTTCCCTTCTTCGTGTCCATGTATTCTCAATGTTTAGCTCCCATTTATAAGTGAGAATATGTGGTATTTGGTTTTCTATCCCTGTGTTTCACGTAGGATTATGGCCTCCAACTCCATCCATGTTTCTGCAAAGAATATGATTTCATTCTTTTTTTTATGGCTGCATAGTTTTCCATGGTGTATATGTACCACATTATCTTTATCCAGTCTACTGTTGACGGGCATTTAGGTTGATTCCATAACTTTGATATTGTGAATAGCACTGCAATAAACATATGCGTGCATGTGTCTTTACGGCAGAACAATTTTTATTCCTTTGGGTATATACCCAATAATGGATTGCTGGGTCAAATGGTAGTTCTGTTTTAAGTTCTTTGAGAAATCGACACACTGCTTTCCACAATGGCTGAACTAATTTACATTTCTACCAGCAACATATTTTGACAAATTGTCACACTGCTTTCCACAACGACTGATTTACATTTCTACTAGCAGTGTATAAATGATGCCTTTTCTCTGCATCCTCACCAGCATCTGTTGTTTTTTGACTTTGAAAATAATAGTCATTCTGACTGGTGTGAGATGGTATCTCACTGTGGTTTTGGTTTGCATTTTTCTAATGATTAGTGACGTTGAGCACTTTTTTTCCTATGCTTGTTGGTCACACGTATATCTTCTTTTGAAAAGTATCTGTTCATTCATCTCCTTTGCCCACTTTTTAATGGGGTTGTTTGTTTTTTTTTTTTTGCTCGTTAATTTGCTTAAGTTCCTTATAGATTCTGAATATTAGACCTTTGTCAGAGGAATAGTTTGCAAATATTTTCTCCCATTCTGTAGGCTGTCTGTTTACTCTACTGATAGTTTGTTTTATTATGCAGAAGTTCTTCAGTTTAATGTGGTCTCATTTGTCAACTTTTGTTTTTGTTGCAACTGCTTTCGGCATCTTTTTCATGAAATATTTGCCAGGGCCTACGTCCAGAATGGTATTTCCTGGGTTATCTTCCAGAGTTTTTGTAGTTTTAGGTTTCACATTCAAGTCTTCAATCCATCTTGACTTGACTTTTGTATACGGGTAAGGAAGGGGTCCTATTTCAATCTTCTGCATAGGGCTCGGCAATTATCCCAGCACCATTTATTGAATAGGGAGTCTTTTTCCCATTTTTTTTGGTTAACAATTAGATGGTTGTAGATGTGTTGCTTCACTTCTGGGCTCTCTATTCTGTTCCATTGGTCTATGTCTGTTTTTCTGCTAGCACCATGCTGTTTTGGTTACTGTAGCCTTGTAGTATAGTTTGAAGTCAGGTAACATGATATCTCCAGCTTGGTTCCTTTTGTTTAGGATTGCCTTGGCTATTCCAGCTCTTTTTGGATCCATATAAAGTTTGAATAGTCTTTCCTAATTCTGTGAAGAATGTCATTGGTAGTTTGTTAGAGATAGCACTGAATGTATAAATTGCTTTGGGCAGTATGGCCATTTTAACAATAGCGATTCTTCCTATTCATGAATACGAAAGGTTTTTCCATTTGTTTGTGTCAACTCTGATTTTTTTGAGCAGTGTTTTACAATTCTCGTTATAGAGATTTTTTATCTCTTTCGTCAGTTGTATTTCTAGGTATTTTATTCTTTTTGTTGCTATTGTGAATGGGATTGCATTCTTGACTTGGCTCTCAGCTTGAATGTTGTTGGTGTACAGAAATTCTACTGATTTGCGTACACTAATTTTGTATTCTGGAAATGCTAATTCTTATTTCAGAAAAGTTAATAGTAACACTTAAATTGACTACATAAAGCGTAAGAATTCTAACTCATTTTTTTTTAAAGAGAGAAAAATATATAGCTCAGTTCAAGATTATAAATACTTATATTCTCTAAAGGAAGAAAAGGTCCAAAAGAAGGTACCATCAGTTAGGACTAGATACAATCAAGAGATCATCACTTGAAACTATGTTTTGATGATAATTGAAGAGAAATAATGGGTTTATATATTTAGAAATGTTTGGTAAAAGTGAATAGATGTTTTAATATTCTTTTTTTTTCCAATTTATGATTACCTTCTAGCTTATTGTTTTTGTGCCTACAATCATCACAATGCAACATATTCAGAAGACCCAAAATAAAAATCTTTTATTATTATTATTATTATTATACTTTAAGTTTTAGGGTACATGTGCACAATGTGCAGGTTAGTTACATATGTATACATGTGCCATGCTGGTGCGCTGCACCCACTAACTCGTCATCTAGCATTAGGTATATCTCCCAATGCTATCCTTCTCCCCTCCCCCCACCCCACAACAGTCCCCAGAGTGTGATGTTCCCCTTCCTGTGTCCATGTGTTCTCATTGTTCAATTCCCACCTATGAGTGAGAATATGCGGTGTTTGGTTTTTTGGTCTTGCGATAGTTTACTGAGAATGATGATTTCCAATTGCATCCATGTCCCTACAAAGGACATGAACTCATCATTTTTATGGCTGCATAGTATTCCATGGTGTATATGTGCCACATTTTCTTAATCCAGTCTATCATTGTTGGACATTTGGCTTGGTTCCAAGTCTTTGCTATTGCGAATAGTGCCGCAATAAACATACGTGTGCATGTGTCTTTATAGCAGCATGATTTATAGTCCTTTGGGTATATACCCAGTAATGGGATGGCTGGGTCAAATGGTATTTCTACTTCTAGATCCCTGAGGAATCGCCACACTGACTTCCACAATGGTTGAACTACTTTACAGTCCCACCAACAGTGTAAAAGTGTTCCTATATCTCCACATGTTCTCCAGCACCTGTTGTTTCCTGACTTTTTAATGATTGCCATTCTAACTGGTGTGAGATGGTATCTCATTGTGGTTTTGATTTGCATTTCTCTGATGGCCAGTGATGGTGAGCATTTTTTCATGTGTTTTTTTGGCTGCATAAATGTCTTCTTTTGAGAAGTGTCTGTTCATGTCCTTCACCCACTTTTTGATGGGGTTGTTTGTTTTTTTCTTGTAAATTTGTTTAAGTTCATTGTAGATTCTGGATATTAGCCTTTTGTCAGATGAGTAGGTTGCGAAAATTTTCTCCCATTTTGTAGGTTGCCTGTTCACTCTGATGGTAGTTTCTTTTGCTGTGCAGAAGCTCTTTAGTTTAATTAGATCCCATTTGTCAATTTTGTCTTTTGTTGCCATTGCTTTTGGTGTTTTGGACATGAAGTCCTTGCCCATGGCTATGTCCTGAATGGTAATGCCTAGGTTTTCTTCTAGGGTTTTTATGGTTTTAGGTCTAACGTTTAAGTCTTTAATCCATCTTGGATTGATTTTTGTATAAGGTGTAAGGAAGGGATCCAGTTTCAGCTTTCTACATATGGCTAGCCAGTTTTCCCAGCACCATTTATTAAATAGGGAATCCTTTCCCCATTGCTTGTTTTTCTCAGGTTTGTCAAAGATCAGATAGTTGTAGATATGCGGTGTTATTTCTGAGGGCTCTGTTCTGTTCCATTGATCTATATCTCTGTTTTGGTACCAGTACCATGCTGTTTTGGTTACTGTAGCCTTGTAGTATATAGTTTGAAGTCAGGTAGTGTGATGCCTCCAGCTTTGTTCTTTTGGCTTAGGATTGACTTGGTGATGCGGGCTCTTTTTTGGTTCCATATGAACTTTAAAGTAGTTTTTTCCAATTCTGTGAAGAAAGTCATTGGTAGCTTGATGGGGATGGCATTGAATCTATAAATTACCTTGGGCAGTATGGCCATTATCATGATATTGATTCTTCCTACCCATGAGCATGGAATGTTCTTCCATTTGTTTGTATCGTCTTTTATTTCATTGAGCAGTGGTTTGTAGTTCTCCTTGAAAAGGTCCTTCACGTCCCTTGTAAGTTGGATTCCTAGGTATTTTATTCTCTTTGAAGCAATTGTGAATGGGACTTCACTCATGATTTGGCTCTCTGTTTGTCTGTTATTGGTATATAAGAATGCTTGTGATTTTTGTACATTGATTTTGTATCCTGAGACTTTGCTGAAGTTGCTTATCAGCTGAAGGAGATTTTGGGCTGAGACAATGGGGTTTTCTAGATATACAATCATGTCGTCTGCAAACAGGGACAATTTGACTTCCTCTTTTCCTAACTGAATACCCTTTATTTCCTTCTCCTGCCTAAATGCCCTGGCCAGAACTTCCAACACTATGTTGAATAGGAGTGGTGAGAGAGGGCATCCCTGTCTTGTGCCAGTTTTCAAAGGGAATGCTTCCAGTTTTTGCCCATTCAGTATGATATTGGCTGTGGGTTTGTCATAGATAGCTCTTATTATTTTGAGATATGCCCCATCAATACCTAATTTATTGAGAGTTTTTAGCATGAAGGGTTGTTGAATTTTGTCAAAGGCCTTTCCTCCATCTATTGAGATAATCATGTGGTTTTTGTCTTTGGTTTTGTTTATATGCTGGATTACATTTATTGATTTGCGTATATTGAACCAGCCTTGCATCCCAGAGATGAAGCCCACTTGATCATGGTGGATAAGCTTTTTGATGTGCTGCTGGATTCAGTGTGCCAGTATTTTATTGAGGATTTTTGCATCAATGTTCATCAAGGATATTGGTCTAAAATTCTCTTTTTTGGTTGTGGCTCTGCCAGGCTTTGGTATCAGGATGATGCTGCCTCAGAAAATGAGTTAGGGAGGATTCCCTCTTTTTCTATTGATTGGAATAGTTTCAGAAGGAATGGTACCAGTTCCTCCTTGTACCTCTTGTACAATTCGGCTGTGAATCCATCTGGTCCTGGACTCTTTTTCGTTGGTAAGCTATTGATTATTGCCACAATTTCAAATCCTGTTATTGCTCTATTCAGAGATTCAACTTCTTCCTGGTTTAGTCTTGGGAGGGTGTATGTGTCGAGGAATTTATCCATTTCTTCTAGATTTTTGAGTTTATTTGCGTAGAGGTGTTTGTAGTATTCTCTGATGGTAGTGTTGTATTTCTGTGGGATCGGTGGTGATATCCCCTTTATCATTTTTTATTGCATCTATTTGATTCTTCTCTCTTTTCTTCTTTATTAGTCTTGCTAGTGGTCTGTCAATTTTGTTGATCCTTTCCAAAAACCAGCTCCTGAATTCATTAATTTTTTGAAAGGTTTTTTGTGTCTCTATTTCCTTGAGTTCTACTCTGATTTTAGTTATTTCTTGCCTTCTGCAAGCTTTTGAATGTGATTGCTCTTGCTTTTCTAGTTCTTTTAATTGTGATGTTAGGGTGTCAATTTTGGATCTTTCTTGCTTTCTCTTATGGGCATTTAGTGCTATAAATTTCCCTCTACACACTGCTTTGAATGTGTCCCAGAGATTCTGGTATGTGTGTCTTTGTTCTCGTTGGTTTCAAAGAACATCTTTATTTCTGCCTTCATTTCGTTATGTACCCAGTGGTCATTCAGGAGCAGGTTGTTCAGTTTCCATGTAGTTGAGCAGTTTTCAGTGAGTTTCTGAATCCTGAGTTCTAGTTTGATTGCATTGTGGTCTGAGAGATAGTTTGTTATAATTTCTGTTGTTTTACATTTGCTGAGGAGAGCTCTACTTCCAAGTATGTGGTCAATTTTGGAATAGGTGTGGTGTGGTGCTGAAAAAAATGTATATTCTGTTGATTTGGGGTGGAGAGTTCTGTAGATGTCTATTAGGTCTGCTTGGTGCAGAGCTGAGTTCAATTCCTGGGTATCCTTGTTGACTTTCTGTCTCGTTGATCTGTCTAATGTTGACAGTGGGGTGTTAAAGTCTCCCATTATTAATGTGTGGGAGTCTAAGTCTCTTTGTAGGTCACTCAGGACTTGCCTTATGAATCTGGGTGCTCCTGTATTGGGTGCATATATATTTAGGATAGTTAGCTCTTCTTGTTGAATTGATCCCTTTACCATTATGTAATGGCCTTCTTTGTGTCTTTTGATCTTTGTTGGTTTAAAGTCTGTTTTATCAGAGACTAGGATTGCAACCTCTCCCTTTTTTTGTTTTCCATTTGCTTGGTAGACTTCCTCCATCCTTTTATTTTGAGCCTATGTGTGTCTCTGCACGTGAGATGGGTTTCCTGAACACAGCACGCTGATGGGTCTTGACTCTATCCAATTTGCCAGTCTGTCTCTTTAATTGGAACATTTAGTCCATTTACATTTAAAGTTAATATTGTTATGTGTCAGTTTGATCCTGTCATTATGATGTTAGCTGGTTATTTTGCTCATTAGTTTATGCAGTTTCTTCCTAGTCTCGATGGTCTTTAGATTTTGGCATGATTTTGCAGCGGCTGGTACCGGTTTTTCCTTTCCATATTTAGTGCTTCCTTCAGGAGCTCTTGTAGGGCAGGGCTGGTGGTGACAAAATCTCTCAGCATTTGCTTGTCTGTAAAGTATTTTATTTCTCCTTCAGTTATGAAGCTTAGTTTGGCTGGATATGAAATTCTGGGTTGAAAATTCTTTTAAGAATGTTGAATATTGGCCCCCACTCTCTTCTAGCTTGTAGAGTTTCTGCCGAGAGATCCGCTGTTAGTCTGATGGGCTTCCCTTTGTGGGTAACCCGACCTTTCCCTCTGGCTGCCCTTAACATTTTTTCCTTCATTTCAACTTTGGTGAATCTGACACTTATGTGTCTTGGAGTTGCTCTTCTCGAGGAGTATCTTTGTGGTGTTCTCTGTATTTCCTGAATCTGAATGTTGGCCTGCCTTGCTAGATTGGGGAAGTTCTCCTGGATAATATCCTGCAGAGTGTTTTCCAAATTGGTTCCATTCTCCCCGTCATTTTCAGGTACACCAATCAGACGCAGATTTGGTCTTTTCACATAGTCCCATATTTCTTGGAGGCTTTGTTCGTTTCTTTTTATTCTTTTTTCTCTAAACTTCCCTTCTCGCTTCATTTCATTAATTTCATCTTCCATCGCTGATACCCTTTCTTCCAGTTGATCACATCGGCTCCTGAGGCTTCTGCATTCTTCACGTAGTTCTCGAGCCTTGGCTTTCAGCTCCATCAGCTCCTTTAAGCACTTCTCTGTATTGGTTATTCTAGTTATACATTCGTCTAAATTTTTTTCAAAGTTTTCAGTTTCTTTGCCTTTGGTTTGAATTTCCTCCTGTAGCTCAGAATAGTTTGATCGTCTGAAGACTTCTTCTCTCAAATCATCAAAGTCATTCTCCCTCCAGCTTTGTTCCGTTGCTGGTGAGGAACTGTGTTCCTTTGGAGGAGGAGAGGTGCTCTGCTTTTTAGAGTTTCCAGATTTTCTGTTCTGTTTTTTCCCCATCTTTGTGGTTTTATCTACTTTTGGTCTTTGATGATGGTGATGTACAGATAGGTTTTTGGTATGGATGTCCTTTCTGTTTGTTAGTTTTCCTTCTAACAGACAGGACCCTCAGCTGCAGGTCTGTTGGAGTTTGCTAGAGGTCCACTCCAGACCCTGTTTGCCTGGGTATCAGCAGCGGTGTCTGCAGAACAGCAGTTTTTCGTGAACCGCGAATGCTGCTGTCTGATCTTTCTTCTGGAAGTTTTGTCTCAGAGGAGTACTCGGCCATGTGAGTTGTCAGTCTGCTCCTACTGGGGGGTGCCTCCCAGTTAGGCTGCTCGGGGGTCAGGGGTCAGGGACCCACTTGAGGAGGCAGTCTGCCCGTTCTCAGATCTCCAGCTGCGTGCTGGGAGAACCACTGCTCTCTTCAAAGCTGTCAGCCAGGGACATTTAAGTCTGCAGACGTTACTGCTATCTTTTTGTTTGTCTGTGCCCTGTCCCCAGAGGTGGGGCCTACAGAGGCAGGCAGGCCTCCTTGAGCTGTGGTGGGCTCCACCCAGTTCGAGCTTCCCAGCAGCTTTGTTTACCTAAGCAAGCCTGGGCAATGGCGGGTGACCCTTCCCCAGCCTTGCTGCCGCCTTGCAGTTTGACCTCAGACTGCTGTGCTAGCAATCAGTGAGACTCCGTGGGCGTAGGACCCTCCGAGCCAGGTGCGAGATATAATCTCCTGATGCGCCATTTTTTAAGCTCGTTGGAAAAGTGCAGTATTCGGGTGGGAGCGACCCGATTTTCCAGGTGCCGTCTGTCACCCCTTTCTTTGACTCGGAAAGGGAACTCCCTGACCCCTTGTGCTTCCTGAGTAAGGCAATGCCTCGCCCTGCTTTGGCTCACGCACGGTGTGCTGCACCCACTGACCTGCACCCACTGTCTGGCACTCCCTGGTGAGATGAACCCGGTACCTCAGATGGAAATGCAGAAATCACCCGTCTTCTGCGTCACTCACGCTGGGAGCTGTAGACCTGAGCTGTTCCTATTCGGCCATCTTGGCTCCTCCCCCTACATCAGATCCTAAAAATCTTAATGAACCTAATTTCTATACGTTATTAATACCCCCAAATCCTGAAAACCAAAAGACAAATGTAATGGGTAGCTTAAGAAATAAGAAAACTTTATTCACTAATAAAATTTAAGGAAATATTATGGTAAGTTCAAAGTAATACTCAAAAGAATAGAAGTTTTTCAGTTGTAATGTTATCAGAAATACTAAAAATTTAAAAACTAAAGTTTAAAAATGACTTTAGAAACATCAATGAATGTATCTTAGTAAAAGGAAGCATTAACAATGAATGTTATATGAGTGAATTGTACAAAAACATAATATGACTTTCTTAAGTATTATAATAACAAAAGCAATGATAATGGAAACAGATCTTTGAAACACTAATGTTATCCCCACAGCTTTCCTCATCTTCTTATGCTATTATCATCCTGCACCCTACAGCTTCTGTCTGACTACACTTTCTCCTTAGTTTAAAACCACAATGAGATTAATATGCATTTTTGGAGGCAAGAGTAGGGAGGATACTGAGTTCTTTGAGTCATTTGGTAGTCTTTTCATGGTAAAAAAAAAAAAAAGTCATTTAAAGAAACTTAAGAAGAAGAAGGATTTCTGGAAATTACACCACAATTATACAATCTTGCTGTATTATTTAGCATTTTGCTGGTAGCTACACATAGTGTTCAATAGTGAACAAAGAATAATTCCTAGGCAAGAAATTAAGAAAACAGTGTGATACCTACGTATCTCCTTGTCAATGTGAGTCCTATGGTTCTTCATTCAGAATGAACCCTCATTGAGATAATACAGACTGAGACAATATCTAGCGCAAGCTGAAAGTTCCTTGGACTAAACACCATGGGAGAAGAAGATATTCTTGCTGTGGAAATTTTTATGGGGTAGACCAAACCATATCTATATAAATATTCCGTTATACAGCTTTCCTTACACATATTTTCAGATGGTTCCATTTATTTAGTTATTAACTGGAGAACTGACTTTAATTAACAAAAATATACCGGCATAACTGGTTTTATATAGTGTAATGCCAGAAAGAAACATGCTGCTGACAGGATGGGAACAGACCTTTTGTGATCAATACCTTTTCAAAGAGAAGACTAAAACAAACGTTTAATTCCCCTGGGATTTTAAGGTTTTTTTTGGCTTTTTTAGTGGAGTAAACAGGGGTACAGAATGTAGTAGGCATATGATTTTCACAAACTTCCTTTACAGCATGTATCTAGTTTTAAATTACTTTGTATCTCCCACCTCAGTGCTTTCCACCTAATTATGTGCATGTGTGCATATGTGTATGACTTGAGAGGCAGTATAGTAGGATGGTTTCAGGGCCCATACTCTGGTGCTAGACTGCAAACCACTCACTTTGGACAAGATGGTTAATCTTTAAAATGGGAATAATGATGGGATGTTATTAATATCAAATAAGTGGTTGTTGTGAGGATTAAATTAGTTTATTAATTTAAAGTTCTTAATGTCTAGCTCAAAAAACTGCTCAAAGGTGTTAGCTGTTATCATACATGTTTCCAAGGCAGAAAAGTATGGTTAAATGTGAGATTAGATAAATACGAAAGAAGTTATATTCTTAAATCTAACAGATACTAATTTAAGAGGCATGCCCAAATTAACCATTATTTTGCTGCCTGTGCCAACAGTCTCTTCCCCAGAGAAATCCTACTTTTATGAATCTTTGGCTAGGAGCTGATATAAATCTCATTCTTAAGGATCTAAAAAATTCTTTATATTTTGTACTCTTCTATCAGAAATAAATTTTTACTTTCTTAAAAAATAT
This sequence comes from Homo sapiens, assembly GCF_000001405.40. NCBI lineage: Eukaryota > Metazoa > Chordata > Mammalia > Primates > Hominidae > Homo > Homo sapiens. The sequence continues at coordinate 100,588,547 of NC_000006.12, forward strand.
TTTTTGGTAGCTGCCTTATATACTTTAGTCCTCTATTCTTTTCTACAGAGCAAAGAATAGAAAACTGATTATTACAGGATCTACCTATCCTTCCATCTGTTAATTCATTAATAAAAATTTTCAAACTCACTAAAATGTACATGGCACTATGCTGGGCACAAAATTTACAAACTAGTTTCTTGTAGGGGAAAAAACTGAGAAATTGAAAAACTGTGAATGGGATATTGAAGCTTATTGAGAATTATAAAGCAATAGGAGAGGAAGGAAAAAAGTTACTAAGTGAACTACCATAGAGTCAATGAATTTATAAGAGAAGGACTTTAAAGACAGAATGGTCCAATTGTTCTTAACTTTTCTAAAAAGCACCAACACATCTGAAGGATAAGATAACAGTAAGAATATATGAATATCCTAACTAATGTGTTAACAAAGTTTTGTGGTAAATTATTACACTTAAAATCAACAAAGGGAAAAAAAGCCAGAAGGGGACATTATGTAGAAGGAAAGGTGGACAAGATGCTTCTAATATTAATTTCTTAGCTATTTGGCAAAAAAAGGAAAAATGAACACAGTATAGTTTTTTACCATGTGATATATCTGTGGTCATTTTTTTGGTAAGGGTGTTTGTGGGGATGGGGGATAAACAGCTGTCCTGACATTAATTCTAAGAACTTAATTGTGTGGATGCTTATGAAAGAAACTTCAGTAGCATCACAGCTAAGTATTCAACAGGAACTATCCAAAAAAGTAATAAGAAAAGCTTTCAATCATAATTCAAAGAGGCTATTATATTTAAGGATAGGGTGATGACTTGCCTTGCTCAGGACAGTCCAGTTTACATCTACTATCCTGGCTTAAATATTAATAGGACCTCATTCCACACTCAGAAGGATCCAAGTTTGGATCATAAATTATGTGGTCACCTTATCTATGGGTATCTTAGTCTAGATGTGTTGCTTTGTAGTGACCTTGTTTGACAGAGGAAAGGGCTTTACAAATGGTTTCTGTTAAATTTCAAGACAAACTAGGTGGCAAAACTTTAAGCCCTAAATTAAAAGAGAAGATATGAAATATATGAAAAACTCACACTTAGAATTGAAAGCAGTTCTTCAGTACTGCATTCAGGCTTCAAGCGGTCCTTGAACATTTTAACTGTTTGATGCTTCAAATAGTAATAGGAGGCAATTCGGCCATAAGTTAGAGGTTCAATGCTGCGATTATCCTATTTCAAAAGAATAACAAATGAAGAGTACGATGAAAGTACATATCTTTATAAAATTAATAATTCAGACAGGTGCTTTTGAAACAATTTTTTAAAAAATTTTGATAGTATTAAAAGCAAAAGACCTGTCAAAAAGCTGGGCAATCTTTTCAATTAGAATGCATATGACTAAGTCATACCTCTCCAATTTCAATACAGTAGGAAAGTTCCAATTCAATCAGGGACTTCTCAATCAGATGGGACAGAAACTTGTTCACAGAATCATGGCTCACATCACCCAAATTGTAATAGCTAGAAAACAAGCAAGGTTATTATTATTTGTTTCAAGACATTTTCTACTAAAACTATCACCTCAGTTTCACAGAATATATATAAATATAATCCCCTTTTATTATAAAACCTATCCTCAGTAACATCACAAAACTCACAGAAATATTAATCTTGGGTGGTAGATGAGTTCTTTTAGGCAATTCAGTCAATTATTGTTCCCCTAGTGCTTACAGAATAAATGTCATCCTAATGACTAGAAGGGACATCATCAGGGTAAAAATAAAGCATTCTAACCAAGTCTTAATACAGGAAAAATACATAAGTCCAGCTCTGTATATTTTCCAAGCAAAAAGCCTAAAGACATACATTTCACCTGAATGTGCATCCCTGCAACACTGAGAAGTTCTTGGCAAAACCCCATGGCCTCTAGGGATCTGTGCCTGGAAACAGATCCGAAGAGCAAGGGACTACACCCATAATCTTGGCAGTTCCCTAATTCCTACTAGGTGAACCCTATATCCTAGTCAGCATGGGTAATTTATATGCCCTACCTCCCTTTTCCCCATCCACATCAAAGAATGGCAGTGGAAAGTGGTCTTAGAGAACCGGTTCTCATCCCTAAGACCCCATCATGATGGTTTTACATCTGTACAGGACTAGGAAGGGAATATTCATAGTCTGGGAAAAGGGTGCTAACAATTTCAAATGGGAGAGGACTAAAGAAAGCCACAACTTGAGAGCAATAGAGAACACTATCTAGATGACAATTTTTGTGATATTTTTCATTCTTCAAAGGAAGAGACTTGGGGTCAGTAAATTATAAAAAAATTATTTAAAAATACACAAAGCAGGACTAATAATGTCAGGACATATTTTCATTAGAAAGAAAAGTTAGTGCAAATGGCTAGGTACACCCAAATATGAGAGGCCCCATTACATAAAAATTATTATAGTAAAAGACTATTGCAATTTATTTGGGAAAATTACTTCCATTAAAAAGGAAGTTACTTTAATTTTGATCTATTGAAAAGTTACTGCTTTTTCTAGAAAAGCTCTTGGCATGTACCTAAATAAAGCAATATTAATCAATTAAGAGATAAATAAGTACTGAACCTAGTGCTGTCATTAATTTAAACAAAATGTTCAAATTTATGTCTAAGCATATATGGAAGTGAAAAACCAAAATTATTAACCATTAGAAAATATTTCTTTTCTTTTGGAAAATGACTAAGGAGGAGTAGTTAGAATAATGTCTTCTGCTTTAGAGGTGAAAATAAAAATTCTGGACATTCAAGCCATATAAAAGATACAAATATCCAAAGTCATTCAAAATTTTTAAAATATTTTTTCTCTTTCATTGTTTTGCAAGAAATGAAATTCATCAGTCAAACTTTCTACAATATAAGTGCTTACTTTGTATTTCACATTCTTTTGGCTTACTAAGCCTATAAATTTTCCAATACTATTTTTAGCTGTCAGGACTAATACATAGCTGATAAAGTTATTTCTAAATTCAAAACACTAGTCAAAATGTGCCCAGGATACTAAGTAGTAGGATTTGTAGAGTAAGAATCAAACTATTCTTTTTTTAAACCAAATCTGTCTGCCTTGATCTTGGAACAAACAATTCTTTATGCAACTGACATTACAGAAAGAAGATATTTTGAAAATATTACTGTGAAATACAAAAAAATTAAAATACTATTTTTATCTATCCATTTACTAGGTCGTTTGAAAACTAATGGATCCTGTTACGGATTACCATCAGCCGTTGTCCTATATATAACTGGGATGTCAACTTTACCATTTTTATGCTTTAATGAATAAATTTGGTACACTTACAAATAATATTTAAAACTATCAATGAAAAAAAACTTTCCTTGAAAAAATTACAGGTTCTTTTAAATATTTATCTTATTTTATTTACTGTATTTGCTTTATTTTGTTTACTGTATTTACAAGGTATATTTCAATGGATTAATATCCCTTCTAAAGTCTGTTTATTTAAGCCTATTGGGACTTTTTAAAGACAAATCTGTGGTTTTCATCCAGATAAAATATAGTCAGGGTAAATATATCTTAAACATTTAAAGTAAGTCACCAAAAAAAAAAAAAAATCAACCTAAATGATGTTTCTGAGATTACAATAAATTATATGATGACACCACTAAAATATTATTCATAATCTAACTTGCTAAAAGTTCACATTTCTTCATGCAGAAAACATAAATGTTTCACTGTTATTTTTTCTTAACACAGTTTTTTTTTCTAAATGTGGTCACCAACATTCTTATTGACTTGCATAACAGAAGAAATACAAAATTCAATTCAAGTAAATTGAACTTCACTGATCTTTACCAAATACTATTCTTGGTCAATATTTGGACTGAGATTCTAAAGTCATTTAAAATATTTTCAAATCCTTATAAAAGTAAGATATTGTTACATCTTAATTAGATATACAATTTGTGAGACACTATAAAATAATTTAAATGTAAATGAAGTTTTTTAGGTTACATAAAATTTTGGGAGTTAATATATTTTGAATTTTTCTGTGAATAAGGAATAGAGTACAGATTTATATGCTCTCGATTAGTAGCATAATACAGCCTTTACTTCTATGAGGTGAACTTTTTTTAGTTACTGTGCATCTTCTAGCCTGAACAATTATAAGCATTTAGCTTAAAACATTACATATCATTAATTTTAATAATCACTTTACTAACTTGAAAAAGCATGCAACAGCTAAGTAAAAAGGTCTGTTTTCATGTTGCACTCTCCACAGTACAAAATTTGTAATTTACTGGTTATTTAAACACAAACATTTCACAACTGTTTAATTATGGGTAAAGGATAAAACGTAGTTTTATGTTCACTGCATTGAATCATCAAGTCATTATCTTCTCTTTGCCATAAACGGACAGCCTACCTTTTTGTCAGCATGCTATTTCATTTATTTCACAGAGAAACCCAGTTTCACAATAATTGACTTGTCAGAAGCTCTAATTTATGAGACTGAGCTCTGTAAGACTTCTCTATATTGGACTCAACCTGCACACAAGCAGGGTTGAATATTTACAATGCTGTTAACAGGTGCTGAGTTGTTTAATGATTCTAATAGCCAGAAGCGTACTGAGAAAGCCAGCGGGATCACAATTACAGGCTGTTTGAACACAACAATTACTAGTCCCCTGAGAGGTGTGAAAGTCAAAGGCAGTTTGATACTGACAGCATCCAGCACATGGGCTACACAAGCTAACTTCTATTAGCAGTCCATTGGGAAAAAGTCATAACAAACCTCTCCCTATCATAAAAATTTACAAAGTTCGTAAAATTTAAAGAATCAAAAACTAAAAAGTTTTTCAAAAATTATCTTTAAAAGATCTTATCAAAGGACAAACAAGAATACTACATATGAAATCTCAAGTTACTTTTTCAAATCTTAATACTGATGAAATTTCACCAGTTGAGAATGAAAGAGGTTTTATATTAATGTAAAACATAGATAAAGTTACACCAAACGGTTTGGATTTAATGTGAATAGTGGCAGCCATTTCCTGTTTGGTTTATGTAAACCTGTTCAGATATCTTGCTGGGAAATTTTTCATCAGTATTGAAATGCTGCTGCTATAACTGTCAGTAGTGGGAAGTCATTTGTTACAGCACCATTTTTTTTATGTTCAGATTATGCAGCAATAACAATGACACAAATAGCGAAAGTGGTTGCAGGAACAGCTGAAACTACCACATTTTTGCCTCAGATATATTTAAAAGCTTTCTCAGGGGAAAACAGAGTAAAACTGAACATACAAATTGAATCCAGAACTCAATTTGGAATATATTATATTTTATGAAAGCACCAGTACATGTGTTTATATTCATTTGCACAAGTTAATGTGTGTGTGTATGTTATATGTATATATATGTGTTTACATATCTAAACATAATTATCTTTATATGCATATATACATAATATACACACACAGACACACACAAGAATATAAATAGACATATAGTGACCAACTCAGGAACAGTGGTTGAAATCTTTGTCAACACAAGTTTTACTTTTGGTGTGCTGTGGCGAGGACTTCATAGTAGTATGATTAGCTGAAGGGAGCTGGAATATGAGGTTGTATTTCTTTACCTATATATAACTATATTATAAAAATGGTCTTTCTTTTCTATTGTTAAGTAAACCTCAGTCTCTTTGTTATACACACATGCAGATGAACAAGCATGCATACATATTCTTCCTTCCCAAGGAAAGTCAAATCTCAATTCATGGTACTAGATGATAAGGATTATTAAGGAAAAAGTAAAACTATACATAATGTAAGTGTTTCATTAGAGACAATTACTTTAGCATTTTAAAAAATTTTATCAGATCTAAAAATAAGTGGGAAAAATTTACCAGTTTCCTGTGGCTTGGTTTGCTTCCAGCTTTTGGGAAAAGTGATTTTAACACAGACAATAATAAAAAGACACAAGCGAGGGCCAATCACAAGAATGTGGAGAAAGGGGAATCCTTGTACATGGTTGCTGAGAATGTACATTATTAGCACAGCCTCTTTGGAAAACAGTATGGATAGTTCCTAAAAATCTAAAAATAGATCTAGCATATGATCCAGCAATCCCAGTTCTGGGTATATACCCAAAGGAAATGAAATCAGTATGTTGAAGAGACGTCTGCACTCCTATGTTCACTGCAGCATTATTCACAATAGCCAAGATATGGAAACAATATAAGTGCTCATCAATGGATATTCAAATGGATTTGAAAAATATGGTGTATATATACACAATGGAATATTTAAAAAAGAAGGAAATTCTATATTAGCACCAACATGGATAAATCTAGAGGGGGAGGAATCTAGAGGGCATTATGCCATTGAAATAAGGTAGGTAGTATGGAAAGACAAATACTGTATGATCTCACTTATATGTGGAACCTAAAAAAGTTAAACTCATAGAAGTAGAGGGTAGGATGTCAGTTATCAGAGGCCATGAGGGTTGGGAAAGCCATGCAAGCAAAGGGGGAATTGGTCAAAGGGCATAAAGTTTCGGTTAGACAGAAGGAATAAGTTCTGGTGATGCACTGCACAGCATGGTAACTATCGTTAATAATAATGTATTGTGTATTTTAAAATTACTAAAAAGAGTAGATGTTCTTGCTACAAAGAAATGATAAGCATGTGAAGTGATCGATATGTTAATTAGCCTGATTTGTTCATTTCACAATGTACACGTTTTGAAACAGCACATTGTACACCATAATATAATTATCAGTTAAAATTTTTTAAAAGAAAATTTATGTTCACACAAAATCTCACAAATATTTATAGCAGCATTATTTTAAAAAAGAGTCAATTAAAAAAGAAGGTGGCAGAGCTTGACTATAGCTAAGTAAAATATATAAATTGTCAAAATTTACTTAGGCACATTTTTCCATTTTTATCTAGATGTGAAGGTTTATATATTAAAACTGACAGTTTGTTTTTTGGGGGGCATCAAATAAAAAGGGTCATTTGAGTGAGTATGGCAGAGTTTCCATAAAGAACCCATTGTTCAGCATAGCACTGAAAAGAGAAGTGGACAGGGAATGTGGACCTGACAATGAGCACAGTGATGGAGAATGGGATGGAATCCTAGTGTTGCCTCTGTCACTTGGGAGCTGTGCTATTGGGAGCAAGTTGCTTATTCTCCTTGTGCTTCCTTTATTTATAAAATGAGGATCATAACAGTACTAAATGAGTTAAGCTCCTGAAACAGCATTTCAAATATAGTAGACACCCAATAAATATTATCAATGCAGATTTTTGTTTACAACTTTATTAATTCCAATTTTTATTTTTATAAATTTCTTTCCTATATTTACATTTTGCTATTGTTCTTTATCTAGTTTTTAAAGATAAATGCTTATTTTATTTTTAAGCATTCACATTTTCTATGAGGTCTGTAAAGATATAAATATTCCTTAGAATTGTGCTTTGGTTTAAATTCATTGTTTTATTACATTTGTATTTTTGTACAGCTATGGTCTATACCTTTCGTTTTGATTTCATCTTTTACTACAATAAAAGTTTTATAATCCCAAGCAGTTAAATTTTTTTGCCATCCCTTTTATTGCTTATTTCTGGTTTTATTATATTACACAATGAGAATGTAGCCTTATGATCTCTATGTTGAGATGTTCTTTGGGGTCTACTTCATAGTAAATTTTTCAAAACAAATCTTCCATTAGTGTTTGTAAGTAATGATATTTTGTTAGGGACATATGTACAAAGATACAATGGATACAAATTCAAGGATATTATTATTTAAATCCTCTTTTTTATGAAATACTTATCTTTTTGATGTGTTAAAGTCTCCTAACATGACTAATTTAGTTGGGCTGTAATTTTAATTGAATTTCAGTTTTTGCTTTACATATCTGATGTTATTTTTAGTCTCTCTAAAAATCTGTAAACTACCATAACTTTCTAGTGATTGTGTTTGTTACCAATATGATACACTCTTCTTTGTCCTTTGTATTTTTTTGCCTCGAATTTGGTTTTGTATGATTTTAATTCTGCTGCTGCTGTTTTCTCTTTGCTATCATTCTCCTTTACATCTTCTTTCAATCCTTAAATTTCAGCTTTTCTATGTCAATCACGTTTGAATGAATCTGATAATTTCTCTTTTACAACAGGGAAGTTTAAATCATTTACAATATTTATTATTATAGTTGACCTGACTTACGGCATAAATAGATCCCATCTGTCCCCTGCTCAAAACTCTGCAATGGTTCCTGTTTCATCCAGAACGAAAGTCAAAATCCTCACCATAGTTTCTAAGACCACCCATGCCCTATATCACCACTGGCCCTCCACATCCCCAACCTCATCTCCTGCTATTTTCCTGCTTTCACTTATCCTACTTCAGCGACATCTTTTCCTTGTTGTTCCTTGAATACACCAGGCATGCCAGCCTTAATATCTCTCTTGTTCCCTTGGCCTGAAATGCTGTTTTCTAGAAAGTGGTCAACTTTCTTACCTTTGTCAAGTTTTGGCTGAAATATCAGCACCCTTAATGAGGCCCACCCTGACTTTCTTTTTAATACAGTATTGTAATCTCCCATCTCCCCCCAGGCCGCCTTCTGGCTCTCCCAATCTTCCTTATCCTGTTTTCCTTCTAAACATCTATTACCTTTTAATAATATTAAAATCTACCGTCTCTGCTAAAAGAACATGAGTGCCAAGATAGCAAAAGTTTTTGTTTAGTTTACTAATACATCTTCAAAGTGGCTAGAGTGGTGCCTGGAACATAGTAGGTACTCAATAAATGTTTACAGAATTAAGAAATAAAAAAATTAATTTTTAAATGCTTATACTTTATAATTTTAAGTAAATTTTATGATTTTTGAGGCTAGAAGTCATTATTTATGTTGCTACTATCTTCCAACAGAAAGTAAGAGTTGCCAATCATAGCTTTTTCTGAAAAACAAATTATTGCTGTATCTATTCTAGATTTATGAACTTACATGGCAACAGCTTGGGCATAGGGTTCTACTTCAGAATAATAATGACAGCCCAGCCACGTATCTCAACATATGTATTGGTGGCTACTGAAGGAACCAACACATGAAATATGAATGGTCAAGAGTGGATAAACTGGGCCAGGCGTGGTGGCTTATGCCTGTAGTCCCAGCACTTTGGGAGGCCGAGATGGGCGGTTCACGAGGTCAGAAGATGGAGACCATTCTGGCTTACACAGTGAAACCCCGTCTCTACTGAAAAAAAAAAAAAAATTAGCCGAGCATGGTGGAAGGTGCCTGTAGTCCCAGCTACTCGGGAGGCTGAGGCAGGAGAATGGCGTGAACTCAGGAGGTGGAGCTTGCAGTGAGCCGAGATAGCGCCACTGCACTCCAGCCTGGGCGACAGAGCGAGACTCCGTCTCAAAAAAAAAAAAAAAAAAAAAGTGGATAAACTGTTACTTGTGAAAATCAGTTGAAGCTACATTTATCAATATTGACTGGACTTTTTAGACTGTTAAGACTTGGCTAGCTGTAAGGGCTGAGGAGGGTACTGCAGGCAAGAAGAAGAGTGACAGCAGAAGCACAAAAGTGAGAGGAACCTCTTATGTAGACGGTGTGGGTTAATATCTACACTAGCCCCTTTGGTGGTAGGCGGGAGATACTCAACCCTCTTTTTGGGGTAGCAAGATGTGAGGGAAAGCAGCTGCCACAACTACTAAGAGCTCTTAGTCAATGCATGAAGACAATTTACCCTTCTGACTTTCAGTCCCCAAATTTCCTACAGCTAAAGAGGTGTGAACTAAAGAATACTCATTTATTTACATGGACTACACTGACTACCACCATGTGTGAGCAGGAGACATCCTAAATTGCTAATACCCAAGAATACTCTGGATCAGAGGCTCACTATAATTTCTGTAATTAATAAACCTCTTAAGATTTCATCTTTTGTCTACTGTGATAAGTCTCCCCAAACTTCCTGTTCTTTCATTACTACTGTTTATTACAGTTTCATGTGGATTTTCTCACCATAATATTATAAAATAGAAGGCAGTTTGTAACCAGAGCAACAGGGAGTCATACCTACCCAGCTCCCTGTGTGTGGGACCCCTGTTCTGACCCGTGTCTCCAACTGTGCTCCTGGCTCATCTCACTCTTATGGTTGAAAAAAATGTAAACACTGGACAATTTCCTACTCATTATCTTAATTTAAAGATTTACTGCATTCTGTGTCTGCTAACTAAACCTTATCTAGTTCCCACCCCCTATATAATACATTTAATTTCTGATCAATACTATCTGACAGTTTACAAAGTAGGCAAAATTGAAAGACAGACTAAAAGCAGGTTAAGCAGTTAGAGGACTATGGAAGCAAAGGAGAGGGAAGATCAAAAAGCAAACTTGGGGTTTTAAGTCAAGGTAAACAGATACAGTGATAATATTAAGAAAAGTAAGAAAGTTAGAGTAGAGAAAGATTTTTAGAGTTACATGATTAATTCAGTTTTGGACATGTTAAAGTGAAATGATGGTGGGAAGTCCATGTGGCAACATTCAGAAGGCTGGAGAAATAAAATTGTAACTTGATAGACAGCAGATTATAGCCACATATTTTAGGGTCTTTCACATACAAGGTGATATTTTAAATATAGATAGGACCAGCAGAGAAGAACCTTTTAATATTATGTCCTGAGAAGAACACAATATCATTTCTGTAATATTCTTGCTGAATAGACATAATTTGAATTTAGTGATGAGGAAATCAGCAAAAGCCAAATTGAAGGACATTCTACAAAACAATTGGCCAGTTCTCTTCAGAAATGTCAAGGTTATGACAGACAAAGGAAGACTGAGGAAATATCACAGACTAGAGTGAACTAGACAGGGCAACTAAATGCAACTCAGGGTACTTAACTGGATCTTGGACAGAAAAGGGACATTAGTGGAACAACTGGTGAAATCTGAATAGCTTGTAGTATTGTATAAATGTTAATTTCCTGATTTTGATAATTAGACATGGTCATGTAAGATGTTAACATGGGGAAGCTGGGTGAAGGGTATACAGTGCTGCTTTGTACTATTTTTTTTTTTTGCAATTTAAAATAGAAAGTTCAACAATTAAAAAAAAATTTAAAAAGGAGATACATATACAAAGGGCAACGTATCTGTGGATTCAGTAAGGAACTACAATTTGCTAAAGTACTAAATTGGCCTCAGAGAATTATGTCTCTGTGTGCTAATTAGACAAACTGACTAAAATGACTAGGTTCTTATCTCTAAACTAGACTCTTTAGGATGGTACAGATCAGTAAAGCAACTGACAGAGAGTCCAGAACAGCAGCTCAAAATCGACATTATATTCTTTATAATTAATACAGAATTAGAATGGCTTTAATTCATTTATTTAATTCTCAATATGACCCAGTGAGGGAGGGAGGCTATTCGTTACTTTCCAGATGAAGAACGTCTAGCTCAGAGAGGTAAAGTGACTCAGACTCACACCATTAGTAAAGGATAGTGAGGAAATAAGAATCAGTGTGTTGATTCCAAGCCCAAAGCTCTTTCTGTCACACTAAATGCCTTGATTCTTATGTAATAGAAATGATAAATATATCTACAGTTACATGCCAACTCCCATCTATACACACATGCACATGCACACACACACACACACACACACACACACACACAGTTGTAGATTATGAGTCAGAAAACCTGACTTCGTAAGATCTGGCTTTATCAAGAAATAGTAATGGGACCTAGAACAAGTGATTTAAAGCTTCCAGCTTCCATATATTCAATATCAAACAAGAAGATTGGGCTAGAATAAATGTGAAGTCTATTCCATGATTCTAATCCTGTAATGTGTTTGTTTACTGTGGTAAATGTGCAGTTCTGGATGGCTATCTCACTAATTTTGCAGCTATGTTCTCAAATAATATTTAGTACCTAACCCAGACACCCTAACGGTGGAGGGAACTGGGCAAAATGTCACCATATTCTCAAACTCCTATCTAAGTAAGTGAAAATGTTGGCTGAAAAGAAACTTCTTAAGGTGTTAGTAGGTAAGATTTAGTAAGAACATTTTCATCATGACTTCTCTAAGACTTTACAATGGTTTAATATTTTCTTTTACTTACATCTGGAATGTGCCTTAACATTGACCCTCCCTCCATTCACTCTGTATCTAAGGTCCTCATCATCTTTTCCCTATTATTCAGTAGCTTCCTAACTGGCCTTCCTGCTGTAATGGTCTTTCCATCCCACTTCACTTCCTACCATAGTGCAATAAATATTTAACAAAACATAACGTAATTTGGTAATGTTAATCCATATTTAAAGACACTCACCATAGCCTCTAGGATCAGATGCAAACTACTTAGCACAGCATAAAGGCCTTGTAGCCTCTGGTTCTTGGCCTACTTTGTAGTCAAGACAATCTTGTCTCCCTTCTCCTTAGGTTCTGGCTACATTAAACTTTTTCATATTCTCTAAATGCTTATGACTCTTTCAAGCCCTGAGGATTTTTGCCCACATAATTTAATTCTGCCTGAAGTGCCTTCCGCCTTTTCTACTCCTGTTCCTGATTCAAGATTTGGATGAAGTGTCACCTTTTCTGTGAAGCTGTCACTCTCATAGGCTTGAATATCGTTCTACTAGAGGATTTATAATATTCATTGTAACGACTTATATGGTTTTTCCCACACTAAAGATCAGCCCTTAAAAAACAGGGAGTCATGTACTCATTTTTACATCTCAGTGTTTAGTTTACCATCTGAAAAACAGTAAGTGCTGAACGAAGATCTAACATACTGTCTGGAGTGACATTCTACCACACCTCAATTTTATTTTCTCTTGCAATATTCTTATTAACACTTATAAATGCCCCACAAATTTTTTTCCACCTACAACTTCACAAGCCTCACTCTTTTCTGAATTCCAACTGCATCTAAGTCAGTCACTATCATGTAGTTTAGCACATTTCTTAATGACTTCAGGTATCTCATGTCTCAATTACAGAGCAAACTCCTCAGGATGGCTTAAGGTAATTAAAATAGGTTAAGTAACAAATGCATATAATTATTGATATTTTATATACTGTGATACCAGAGATATCATCTGATTCTTTAGACAAATTCATATACCTAGAATCTCCAAAGTTCTGCCTTTTTTGTATGTACCTTAATTTGGAGTTTATTACTTTCAAATATGTCTTATTTCGGGGCAAAACAGAAAGGTATATAACTGCCCTTGCACTTACCTGGGATTCATGATAAGACGTCGGAAAAAGTAAGTCCAGGTGATATAATCCAATGCATCTTGCTTAGATGTAATTGTACCACCAGCAATCTCTGCATTTAAGTGGTCAGAGAGCACTCCTAATAAACTATATAGTGAACAAGACATGGGAAGCATACAAGAGCATTAAACTAAAAACACTGAAATTTATCTCACATAGTCAAGATTCAGATTTTATGTTCTAAGATAAAAACAAATTTGTTTTATATAACTTAAATATTTAGTATATAATTTTGTATACTGTGTAAATAATTCATTCCAAATTATTTAGTGGGAATTTGGTTCCAACATACTTTAACCATGAGTCTATAAATCACTTAGTATCATGAACTCAGGTGAACCCGTATTATTCACCAGTACATATATGTGTTCTCATTTTCTTTTAAAGAAGTATGTTATAATTTTCATTTAAATGTGAATAAAAAGTGGGCTAGTTAGAATGTCACAAAAGTACTATTATAATAATATTTTTCCAGATTAAGTTAACAGTAGTAATAATTTGTTGAAAGCAATCACTAGTGCCTGTCACATGGTATGTACTCAATAAATGGCACTTATCACTACCAATCATTTTTGGAAAATAAATTGCTAGGTGTAAAATAAATACAAGCTGACAAAAAAAAAGCTACTGACTTTCAGGAGATGAGGACAGCCACGAGAGGTAGAGTAAGAGCAGGCAACAGAAGAGATATCTTGCAGAGGAAGGAAGAGCACAGGTACAGGACATGGAGCAAGTATAGAATAAGTACTGAGGCAGATTAAAGGAGAGTTGACAAAGAGATGCTATTTAGAACAGAAAAGTGAGCAAATATATTCTCTTCATTAATTTGTAAATATTAAAGTCCCTAGTCATATAAGACATTATGTATTAGGTGTTGTGGAGTACACAAAGATAATCAGATGTGTTGAAAGACTGGTATAACAAAATGTTTAGTTTAGTTTCTTATGTTAAATATAAAAAAGGAAGCAATGTTCAACAAAAGAAAAAGCTAAGTAAAACTATAATTCATGGAAAAATATGCAGGTATTAAAAATAGTTTTTGCAAAGGACACGAGAAAATAGTTATAATAAGTTGAATTTTTAAAAAAGTTGCTATGTTACTCTCAGGTCACCAGCTGCAGACTACAAATTGGTCCAGTCAATTTTGAGATCAAATTTGTAATATCTATCTGAACAATCACTATGAACCAGCAATTTCACTTTTTCATTATGATCTGCTAGAGAAACATTTACATGTGAGAATAGGAAAGAAAATCTTTCACTGCAACGTTATACATAAGAGGAGAAAACTGGAAATTCTCTAGGTGCACATTAATAGAGAAATGAATAAATAAATTATGAAATACTATGTAATACATAAAATAATAACGGTCATATCAAGGTACAAAACCAAAAAAAAATTTAGTTAACTTTTTATCGAAGTATACACAGAAAAAATTACATAAATTATATAGGTACAACACAATTAATTATTACAATGTGAACACAGTTGTGTAATCAACATCAACATCAAGCATTGAAAGTGTCCCAGAAGCCCTCCTGTTGTGCTTTTCTAGTCCCTTTCTTCTCAAAAGAATATTTGGACTTCCATTTCTTTTTGTTACCTTACTGCAGTGGTTTGGGCCTGTAGCTCAATGCTTACTGGAAGAAGTGACAGCAAAATCCCTCTATCATTTCCTATCTCAAAGGGAAAGCTTTCAATATCTTCTTATAAATTATGATGTTTGATATAGATTTTTTGTAGATATTCTTTATCAGATTAAGAACATTCCCTCATACTCCTGCTTGCTAACAGTTTTATTATAAATAGGTATGGAATTTCATCAATTTTTTTTACATCTATGAAATGATTATATGATTTTTCTCATTTTTGTTCATGTGGTGAATTATATCCATTCATTTTTCAAATAATCATCTTTGCATTTATAGAATAAGCTGCATGTGGTAGTAATATATTATCTTTTTATACATTGCTTGATTTGATTAACTATTGTTTGTTTAGAATTTCTACATCTATATTAATGAGAGACGTTTGTTATATTCCCTTCTCGTAAATTTTTTATCAGGTTTTGGTATCCAAGTTGTTCTGGTGTCATAAAACAAGCTGGCAAGTATTCTTCCCTTTTCCACTACTAGGAGGAGATTGTGTACGATTGATGCTATTTCACCCTTAAATGTTATGAAGAATTCACCATTGAAGCTTCTGGGTCAGAAGATTTCATTCTAAAAGATTTTAAATTTCAGATTCAATTGCTTTGGATAGATGAGAGACTATTTAGATTTTCTATCTTTTTGTGTCAGTTTTAGTAATTTTTAAAAGAAATTTTACTATTTGATACAAAATTTAAATATTATTTGCATTAGGTTGTTAATATCCTATTATTATTCCAGTCTGTGATATTTTTCCATTCCTGATATTTAGACTAAAAAATTTATCAATTTTATTCATCCTTTTAAAAGAACCAACTTTTGGTGTTGTTGATTTTTCTCTAGTTATGTTTATTTTCAGTTTATTAATTCTTACTCTTTTTCTTTCTTTGAGTTTAATTCGCTATTTTTTTTTCTAAATTCTTGAGATCAGTACTTAGACTACTAATTTTTTTTTCTTTTTCCTTTATTTTTCTGCAGATAGAGTTTCACCCTGTTGCTCAAATTAGAGTGCAGTGGTGTTACAACACATGTACCTCAAGCTCCTGGGCTCAAGCAATCCTCCTGCTGCCTCAGGACCACATGCATGAACCACTATGCCTGGCTAACTTTTTTTTTTTTTACTTTTTTGTAGAGACAGGATCTATCTACGTTACCTAGGCTGGTCTCAAACTCCTGGCCTCAAGCAATTCTGCCTCAGCCTTCCAAAGTGCTAGGATTACAGGTGAGAGCCACCTTGCCTGGCTGACTTTTTAAGTTTTTAAAATCAACATTATTAGCACTTATAAAAAATAAAAAGAACCAACAATTATATACAGGATAAATCAGATGTTTTGTCTTCAATGCAGTTAGAATATGGTAAAGGAGATCCAATATATAGAAAAGGACTATGATAAAAGGTAGAAAGTGATAAGTATTTATAAGTGAAAAATACCTAAACCTGAAGGAAGAAAGGTTATTTTCAGCTGAGAATACAAGAGAAGACTTTGAGAAAGGGGTAGTGGTTACTGGGTCCCAAAAGAGGTATAGGATGATTCTCAAATGAGCCAGCAGCCTAAATCATTAATTACATGCTCCCTTATTTGGGATATTTATTTATTAACTGTACAACTGTACTATGAAAACCCTCACCAAACTAATACTTTATTAAATGTTTATTATGTGATAGACACTGTTCTAAGCACTATGTATTTGATTATTATTAGTACTCTATGAGATAGCTGGTCTTGCTACCATCTCCATTTTACAATAGGTGCAATAAGGCAATGAGGTGTTAAGCAACTTGCTCAAGATCAAGCAAGTAAATGGTAGAGCTCAGATTTTCACCCTGGTCATCTGGCTTCATAGTCAATGCGTCTGAACACTGTACTATACTGCTTATTTTAAAAAGTTATTTTTAACATTTAAATTATAATTGAATATTGTCATAAAGTGATAATTATATTGTTTCACATTATATTAAATTCTTCTAAGCTACCTGTTTTACTGATTTTTATATAATAAAATATAACCAGAAAAACACCAACTTGTGATTAAATAAATCCATTTAAACTAATTTAAATAAGATTTACCTTGATTCTACTGGGAAAGGTTCATAAAGAAATTTTTTATAAAAGTCTTTCTTTATGTCATGAACTAGAATTACAGCTTTGCCTTGGTCATCGAACTGCGGCCTCCCAGCACGCCCCATCATCTGGAGGACATCTTTAAAAGAGAGAACAAAGAGATATTCTACAATGTGGCATATAGCACAAGGTATATTTACTGATTATGGCATGCTTCTATAATCAACCAAATAACAAAAGAAATAGAATATTGTGATAATATGTTTGCTATGTTGATGGCTACTACTACGTTGAGTTCCCTAAATTAATATAATTAACTCAGAAAATTGATAAATAAGCAAGTAACTATGATGAAAAACTGAGTCTTTGAAAGGGTCTTTCTTAACATTTATAGATGTAAGAAAGATGAAAATTCCCTTTAGTGGAATGCTTTAAAATGCTGTTTAATAGATATTATTTTAATTAAATAAGAAAAAGTAAAAAATAAAATATATATACAAAAATCTTTTCAGCAGAGTCATTTGATTATTTTCCCCGTGAATAATGAACCCATTTAGGCCTTGTCCTCCCTGCACCCCGGTATAAAATTTCTTTCTTTTAGTCTACATAAATCTCTGAGATAACTAATGATTTAGAAATGATACAGCTTTTACATGTATTCATTTAGTGGAAATATACATTGAGTGTATTTCCCTTTTTGAACTCACTGAAAATGCTTTTATCATGTTTTAAAATATCTTAACAGAGTCTTCATGCATAAGTTGTAGCAATAAACACTTTGGTTCTGGAAATCCCATGGAGGTATCATTTCTAGTGAAACACATTTAAAATTAAGCAAAACAATACTTAGTCATAATTTACTAAGGAATTTCACTAATAGCTCCTAAGAAGTACTTTTATCTATTTATAAATTTGAAACCAACTTTGGATGGCTTAATAACAAGTACTTTAAGCCACTTATTATTTTCTTACTTTTGTGTAAGTAAAAGTAAATACAGCAGCAATATTTTGTATAATATTTTAACTGAAAACAAAAAGTCTATAATTGCTTATCATCTGTTTAAATGTGACCAATTCTCAGAAGTTTAATTGGTGGAAATTCAAATTAATTATTCAAATTCAAATTTACTCAGGGTAAAATAGAGCTTCATGTATTTCTGTGAATTTAAGAAAATTACCTGTAATGGGAAAATCCACATAACGTCTTGTTTTTCCATCATAGTATTCTGTTCCCTTAATAATTACTAAATGAGCTGGAAAGTTTACACCCCAGGCTAATGTGCTTGTAGCAATAAGAACCTAAAAAGCAAAATAAAATATCTTATATCTAAGTAAAATATAACTTTTAAGTTACATTTAAATATGTGTTCACTGGAGAAAAAAAAGTACCTGAACTTTACAGTTTACAAATAGTTCCTCTACTGTTTTTCGGTCCCTCTCATGTAGTCCAGCATGATGCATTCCTATCCCGAAAGCAAGGGTCAGCTTGAGGTTGGAATCTCTTACTGTTGCAATGATGTTCTCCATCTGCAAGTAAAAACAAAATTACAAGATGTAGATGCATAACTTTAAAATTTTCATTAATTTTTCATGTTTCAAAAAACATTAATTTTGTCTTTATGTTATTATATGGACATAAAATATAAGTCCTATATACAGTTATGATTAAAGTTCAACTAACTGAAAAGAATATCTACTTGGTGAGAATATATACTCTAAACACACTAAAGTTTAAATGTTATCCATCTTATTTTTATGCATCAAGAAAAAAAATCTGTAGATAAATGATATGTTCTTTAATGAGTAACAACCATTAAAAAGGATGCAATATTTCAGTGTCTCTGTTCATCTCTTGTTATAAAAAACACTGTTTTTGAAGTTCAGTGCCAAAAATTTTAAAAATACAGACCAAAAAATAGTGGAAAAAAAAAATCAGCCATAATCCTTGCAGACAGAAAGAAATTGTTCCAATTTATGCTTTCTTACAGAACTTATTGGCCCTGAACAAGTCACACAACCTCACTAAGCCTGTTTCTTTAACTGTAAATTTGAAATAATAACAGTAATCTTATATATGCATTTAATTTTCCCTAAAGCCCTGTAATAGTAAATACTATTATTCATCCTATATGTAAATTTAGTAATGATAAAAGGATACATATACCTATTCAAAAATTGTTTTCCAGAGAGGCACACAGCTATAAACATATTAGCATCTCAATGTTACTATGTTCTCAAAACTCTGAATATTATTTAAAAAATCAAACTGGTGTATTTTTGTTTACTTCTTATCTTCGATCAATAGTACAGCTAAACACTTTTTATATTTATTGGCTGTTTTATAATTTACCTTTTAATTTTTTAAGTCGATGTGATAGCCTTTTTTTTTCTAATTGGCTTGTGATCTTTTTTATATATTAACGATATTAACCCCTTGTCCATCATATGCTAGAAATATGTATATATATATTTATATATACATACATATACATATATACACATATATATACATATATATGTATATATATCTATATACACATATATATGTATATATATCTATATATACATATATATGTATATATATCTATATATACATATTTATATACATATTTATATATGTGTGTGTATATATATACTTTATATATATACTTTATATATATACTTTATATACTTTATACTTTATATATATACTTTATATATACTTTATATATATACTTTATATATACTTTATATATACCTTATATATGTATACCTTATATATATACCTTATATATGTATACCTTATATATATACCTTATATATGTATACCTTATATATATACCTTATATATGTATACCTTATATATATATACCTTATATATATTTTATATATATACTTTATATATATTTTATATATATATACTTTATATATATATACTTTATATATATACTTTATATATATATACTTTATATATATACTTTATATATATATACTTTATATATATACTTTATATATATATACTTTATATATATATTTTATATATATATACTTTATATATATATTTTATATATATATACTTTATATATATATTTTATATATATATACTTTATATATATATTTTATATATATATACTTTATATATATATTTTATATATATATACTTTATATATATATTTTATATATATATACTTTATATATATATATATATATATATATATATATATATATACTTTTTCTTTTTGAGGCAGAGTCTCGCTACGTTGCCCAGGTTGGAGTGCAGTGGCGTGATCTCGGCTCACTGCAAGCTCTGCCTCCCGGGTTCACGCCATTCTCCTGCCTCAGCCTCCCGAGTAGCTGGGACTACAGGTGCCCGCCAACATGCCCGTCTAATTTTTTGTATTTTTAGTAGAGACGGGGTTTCCCGTGTTAGCCAGGATGGTCTCGATCTCCTGGCCTCGTGATCCGCCCGTCTCGGCCTCCCAAAGTGCTGGGATTACAGGCGTGAGCCACCGCGCCTGGCCTGCTATAAATATTTTTGCCCCCAGTTTTTTATTTGCACTTTATTTTATTTATGCTTTAACTTTATGGACCTAAAATTGTAAATCGGTCCCTTATGTTTTGTTGCTTAGAAAACTTTTCCTAAATATATACATACATATTTCCCCATTTCTTCAACTTCTGTTATAGTTTTATTTTTTAAATTTAAATAATTATCTTGTAATTTATTTTTGTATAGAAACTATGGTAGAAATCTAAGTTTAGTTTTCCTAAATAATTAACCAATTATTCTAGCAATATAGGTTAAATACTTCCTTATCTTACTTTAAATGCTACATTTAGTATATTCACAATTTTTATATATTATAATTTTTACATTTTTAAACATTTCCAGCCTGAGTTTAGCTCACTAAACTGTCATATATCTAAATGGTTTTTGAAACTCATGTTGTAGAAACGCTCTCTGAATATTCTATCACTTTCCATTCAACATGGAAAATACTTAAAGTAACACAAATTTTATGGGAAGAAAAAGCAAATCTTATTTTCTTACAAAATTTGTTGTAAAGAACTAAATAGTTGTGGCTGGGTGTGGTGGCTCAAACCTGTAATCCCAGCACTTTGGGAGGCCAAGGTGGGTGGATCATGTAAGGTTTGAGGTCAGGAAATCGAGACTAGCCTGGCCAACATGGAGAAACCTCGTCTCTACTAAAAATACAAAAATTAGCTGGGCATGGTGGTGCATGCCTGTAACCCCAGCTACTCAGGAGGTGAGACAGGAGAATCGCCTGAACCCGGGATGCAGAGGTTGCAGTAAGTTTAGATCATGCCAGTGCATTCCAGCCTGGGCAACAGAGCTAGATTCTGTCTCACAAAAAAAGAAGAAAAAAAGAAAGTCCAGTTTCTTTGTTTCAGATAGTTCTCTGTCCTTGAAGCAGAGGATAACATAAGGCACAGCATAAGGAAGTTCTTTCCGGGAAACTCCATGAGGAGAATAATGTTAAGACCAAGTGATTTGAGAAGACATGAGCACTGAAAAGAAGGATACATCTCTAAAGTTTCACCACCACATTCCAGCAGTAAGCAACAGGGGAGAAGTAACTTGGAAATAGTAAATGCATAACTTTTATATGCCTGAGATAGAAGTATAAAAAAGTGACAATTTCTTCAGATCTTATTTCCTTTTTTCTATTAGCAACCTCTAATATATATAAGCATGCTTGCAATATACTTAGTAGCTTGTCTGTGCATAAATCAATAAGTAGATCACAAAATCCTCAGCTTGAGAAACTATTGCTGCTGCTGCAGTTTAGTAAAAATGTATGAAAATATCCACATAATGAAACATTCCAACTGCTTTCTTGTTCATTTTATTTTCACTAGTCAGAAAAATTTTCTAAGTTTTTTTTTAATGTGGAAGCAAGCTGTTTTATACTTATAATAATCCATAAAATAGGACAATAAAGTTTAGCTTTATAATAATTACTAAGGTATTAAAAAAGCACTGTACAAACTAGGTGATATTTTAATGACATACACATAAGAAATGTTATTTATCAACTTTCACTGAACTGAATACAATGTCTAAATAGCTCATGTATAAATAGTTCATTCTGTTTGGCCACCTAGTATTCTTGTATTATTTACTTTATGAACTGTTAAGCAGGAATATGGAAATATATTAGTATGAATCCACTTTACCTTAAAATTAGCACAGGACATGTAAACTGACTATAAATGCATGATATAAGGAAAGGTGCTTGTCTTGTCTCATAAACTACATGTTAGGTATTCTCATTAGACAACTTATTCTCCATTTTTTGTTCAATAGTTCACAGCATAAAATGTCTTCAATTTACACTACAAGGAACTAATTCACTGGTGTCCTTGTTCTAATAATTAGTTTGAGAGATTTTTTTTCACTTTTAAACTTACATAAGTATATATAACTTGTGTAATTTGTAGTGCCCCGTGGCAATGCCAATCATACCCAAAGAATAATGAATCATTTGCCATAGGAAAGCTAAAGAATCCTCTGGCAGAAGGTCTGGTGAGGCATTAATATTCTGTCTTTTACACCAGGGAAGGCTAACAGTTTCTCAATCTCCTAGACCCCACTTTCACATAAATCAATGCAGTAAAGAGAACTGTTTGTTTATCTGAACTGGCAAAGACTTAACATCCTCATGAAGACAATCGCACACACAAAAAACTTCATTTATTACATGGTTTCTCTGGATGAATTTCAAATTATTTGAACATCATAAAAAGCAAAATTTATAGCTGTTAATCATTAAGCACAAAATACTACTAGGACGGCCTATACAAATTTGAAAATCTAATTTTTTGGATTATATACATCTTTGTTACTGTACTTAAAAATAAGTTTCATCTTGATCAAAACATCTTAAGACAAGCAAAAGTATTCAGGAACTTAGGATAATGAAAGTTTAAAACATGACAATAGATATAATTTGTTGAGCACTTATAATATGCCAGGCATTGTGTTTATCACTTTACAAAGATTATCACATTTAATCCTTTATATAAAGTAATATAGTCCTAATATAACAATTAATTTATACAACTGAGTATATGTCAAATGGAAAGACCCAGTGATTTTGAATACTAAAGAGTATAGTTTCTTAGCCCTGGTTCCATGAGAGAATTAACCCCCATAAAAAATACTTGGGTTACCATCTTCTCAATTTTTCTAGTGATAGCTAGTACTTTTCTAGATGGAGAGGAGACAAGTTTATTTTATACATAAAATGGATGCCTTAGGACATTAAGGCTTAATTCTTGTTAAGAAGAGTTGCTATAGAATTAAAAAAAAAAACCATGATAAATGAAACACTGATAGAAGAAGTTTTACTTCCATAGTTCATTTTTGTTCAACAAATTATTTGTTGTAATGTATAGGTGTCTTTCCAATAAATAGCCTTTGAAATATGTCTGACCACCTGATTGTTAAAAAAATTATTCAATATTATACGTAACAGAAAAACAGATCTATGTTATTCTAGGTAGTGATCTTTTTCTTAAGGTTGGGGGGAGGAGGCACATATGTAAACTGTTGAACCATTTACTTTAACTTAATAGAACTTTTTTACATTTTATATTTATTATACTCAAAAAGCTTTTGTAGAAATATAGATTCCATTTAAGTAGATACATTACTCTGTGCCTGAAATACATTCCAGTCGAATATAATTCAGTGAGTTGATGACAACGTTGGCACCAAAAGGAGGAGACCAGATTGAACAAGAATGAGCTAACAGATTGTGCAGCCCAATTCTGTCCTTTTGAATGTGATATATTGTTTCAAGATGCTAAAAACCCATACTTTCTCAAAGCATATCTGTTGTGCTGGTTTTCTCATTTTCACAGAATCCTCATTATCAGAACTCTATACTCTTTTCAAAGCATGTCAGACTCAGACCATATGCCACTGAATAATGCTTATCAATTGTCTGAAATGCTCAATAAAAGATGTACCACAGAAGAATCATAAAAGTTCTGAAGTTTTATTTTTAAATAAAAATAATTAAATCTATCATATCTGGTACAGATATTAAATGACACTAAAACATTTCCTTATAATCACCAAATGTTAATTTCTTTTAATACAAGTCTGTATGATAAACCCCATACACTGAAGGAAGAAAAACAATGAAACATTTTACAGCATTCTACTGATACACTAATAAAAAAGAATTCAAGAAATAAATGAATTAAAAAGAATAGTTTCTAAACTGTATCAATACTCCCAAAATTTATACTTCGTTGCTCTTTCTGACGCTCAAAGACAAGCACACCTCAAAATGATTTATCATACTTTCAAAATATAAATATATTTATATGTGATTAAATTACATGTGAAGTAAATATATAAGTGAAATATAAATTAAATGTACAAATGAAATACAAACAATAACAGCTAAATCTTTGCTATTTTGCCAAATATACACAATACTATTTTCAATGTTTGCTTTTTAGTTTGGCTTAATTCTTTTTTTCTTTCTTTCTTTCTTTTTTTTTTCAGGAAAGCATGCTTAAATTTGTCTTAAAATATTTTTTGAGGGAGGGGTACAAGCAGAATCTATTACCTGTCTAGATTGCGTAGTGGGCAAGTCAGGGCTTTTAGGGTACCCATTACCTGAATTGGGTACATTGTACCCATTAAGTAATTACTCATAGTCTACCTCCCTCCTACTCTGTCACCCTTCCAAGTCTCCATTGTATATTATTCCTCTCCATCCATTTGTATAAATTAAATTTTTTTAATTTTATTTTTTGTGGGTACATAGTCACATGTATACATTTTTTAGCATCCACTTATGAGTGAGAACATGCAATATTTGGCTTTCTGTGTCTGGCTTGTTTCCCTTATGATAATGACCTATATAGTTCCATCCATGCTGATGCAAAAGACATGATTTCATTCTTTTTTATGGCTGAATAGTATTCTATTTTGTATATATACATTTTCTTTATCCAATCATTTATTGATGGATACTTAGGTTGATTCCAATCATTTACTGATGGATACTTAGGTTGATTCTGTATCTGCTATTGTGAATAGTGCTGCAATAAATATATGAGTGCAGGTATCTTTTTGATATACTGATTTCTTTTTCTTCGGGTAGACACCTAGTAGTAAAATTGCTGGGTGGAACGGTAATTCTATTTTTAGTTTTCTGAGAAATCTCCAGACTATTTTCCATAGAGGTTGTTCTAATTTACATTCTCACCAACAGCGTGTAAGAGTTCCCTTTCCCCTGCATCCTCATAGATGATAATAGCCATTTTGACTGGGGTAAAATAATATCTCATTGTGGTTTTAGTTTGCATTTTTCTGGTGATTAGTAATGGTGAGCATTTTTTCATATACTTCTTGGCCATTTGTATGTCTTCTTTTGAAAAATGTCTATGTCCCTTGCACTTGGCCTAATTCTTAATAAAAGCAGTATCAAAACTGGGTTGTAGGGTAAGATATTAAAGATTTTTTCTTATTCATGTTTTTAATTTAATTTGGCACGCTGTTGGTAGGAAATCCCAGTGTAAGCACTTCATATTTATTTCTGATTATAACTTTTATCTTTATTTCCATTGTTGAAGAATTTTGATTCTAACTCATATTTAGCATTTCCATATATTGAAAAACTTTAAAAATGCAGATAAAGGTAATGAAAGGGACATTATAAAATTTTCGAAAGTAGTATATTGTTAAATGCGTAATTATGATATTAACATGAATTAAATTTGTGAAGGATCACAGCAGGCAAAAAGGTACAAATATAAGATCAGATTTTACCACAACTCTCAACAAAGAGAACCTATAAGGTATAATTTCATGTTGCTATACAATCACAGTAATAACAGTTAATATTTATTAAACATTTAACTATGTTTCGGTATCTTAAACGTATTAACACATGTAATCCTCACAACATTCCTATGAGGATGGGTTTCCTATTATTCTCTTTCATAACTGAAGAGATGGCGCGCAGAGATTAATCCTACCAAGGCCACATAGCTTGTAACAGGCAGTCAGTATTGACCAAGAAGCCTGGCTCCAGTCCATCCTCTCAAGCACAATGCCACCCTCTAATCACTACATGAATAAGAGGGATATTTAGTTAACTAATGAAAGTAATAATATTATTAATCAGGCTTAAGGGTGAGCCCCAGTGTTTTAGACTACATGCAGAAAACAAGTAAGATTTGAAATAATGAGTAATGTATTTGAAATAATGAGTTATGAAATAATGAGTAACTCTATGCAGATGATTTATAAATCTATTTTTTATTAATTTCCCACTTCTATGCCTAAAAATGAAGAATGTCTAAAATTATTTTCTTTTTTAAACTAAAATATTACCTTTTTCAACTATCTTCATGATTGAGAATGGCACAGCTCCTGTTGTTTGCTCGTTTGATATTTCAGCTACTAATTTTTATTTTTTTTTTCCTTTTCTTAAAAAAAATTTTTGAGATGGAGTCTCGCTCTGTCGACCAGGTTGGAGTGCAGTGGCGTGATTTTGGCTCACAGCAACCTCTGTCTCCCAGGCTCAGGTGATCCTCCTGCCTCAGCCTCTCGAGTAGCTGGGACTACAGGTGCGTGCCACCACACCTGGGCCAGGCTTGTCTTGAAATCCTGACCTCAGGTGATCCACCCAACTCGGCCTCCTGCAGTGCTGGGATTACAGGCATGAGCCACCGTGCTCAGCCCAGCTACTGATTTTTCTTTATTTTTATTGCACTTTTGTCCCCATCAAATTACTCCCACCCCCACCATGACTTTTCCATCTTTTCTATTCGATATTGTTGTCACTGATTCCAATTACTGTATGGCAGATTAAAATAACAGAGACTGTAGGTTAGCTACCCTGTTTTGAGTTCCTAAGCTGCCACTTGCTTGCTTGTGCTATCTGGACAATCACTTAATCCTTCTAATTTCAGTTTTTGCATCTATAAAACTGGGATAATAAAAACTACCCTTTGAGAATTCATGATAAAATGTGATAATATAAACTTTAATGAATTCTAAAGTACTCTATATAAATACATCACTTAATACTTAGTTTAGTAAAAGTAAACTACTATTATGCTTAGCAATAATTGATACATTTTGCCTCCTTCTTCAGTAGGATATGCATGCTACCAACTAAGGCAAAATAAAATAAAACAGCCTCCTATATTGTAACTCAAGGATACTGAATAGCTGCTCTAAAT
The DNA here is from genome assembly GCF_000001405.40 of Homo sapiens. NCBI lineage: Eukaryota > Metazoa > Chordata > Mammalia > Primates > Hominidae > Homo > Homo sapiens. The sequence goes on from NC_000006.12 coordinate 100,615,777, forward strand.
TGCAGAAATATTTCACAAGGCCCAACTGGTTTCAAACATTCAGTGCTCAGCAAATCTGTAGATAATGTCTGCTTGACACTCAATATTCTCAGCTTAATAGTTTATTTACTGGTCAGTCATTTAGAGGTATGAGGCTTGATAAAACAGAAAGCACTTGGGGTGGGAATTTTGTACCATGAACTAAATTTATTTTAGTTCTATAAAAAACAGGTCCTTTGAGTTAGAAATGATGTTGTTATCCTGCATTAAATTCAACTTAATTTCTGATTTAAAACAATTTCAAAATCCATCTTCAACATCTAGTACTAACTTCTTACCTACAAGAAGAGGCCAATATCTATTTATATGTTGAATGAACAGGCAAATTAATCAAAGAAAACTATAGTAAAATGTCATTAGAATCTCCACCAAATCTGAACTCAGGATAATTTTGAGTAAAGCAAAACTATAGTTCATCTCTGTAGGTCTACTAATATTTTACTTGTAATGAGATTAGGTGGATTATGTTTAGCTTAAAATGATAAACTGCTCTAGCATCTAAAAACACTTTAGTATTAAGCATGTGAAAACACTATCAATCTTACTTTTCATGAAAGTATTCTTCCTATGCACCTGCATTACAGTTTTCATAAATTCACTTTGAAGCACCATGTAAAATTATAATTGGCACATTCAAAAAATAATGTTCTGTATAATTTAGAAGAGACTTCCAGCCAATTAATTTGAATTAACAAGGATTAACTATACTGCTGTTCCTTGTTCCAGGGAACTCTTATCTCCCATACCCTTCTAATTTCGTATTACCTCTACCTGGAATTTTTCCATGGTTTGCTCCAGTCAGAAGGCTCTTACCTTTCCTGCTTCAGATTTTTTCCCCCACCTACCTTTGGATGATGTTGTAGACTTTAGAGCACAACTTAAAACATTCATGGCAAAAGGCCTTGCAGAATCCTAATTAATTTCTACTTGTAAGGACAAAAGTGAATAGCGAGTTCTTGTTGTTGTATTCTTCTTTTAGCTACCTGGATCTTATTTAACAGTGTGGCAGAAGAAAGGGGCCGCCCTGCTGTTAACTGGCAAGAAACACAGAGGTGTTGAGGGAAATAATGTAAGCAATACTAAAGAATGAAGTCTAATCTTCAGCCAGCATCCTGCTTTCCCACCCCAGAAAAGGAATCTCATCTAAGGGCAGTATTCTGAACTTTTTGTTGTTGTCGTTGTTGTTGTTGTTGTTGTTGTTGTTGTTGAGACAGAGTCTTGCTCTGTCACCCAGGCTGGAGTGCAGTGGCGCGATCTTGGCTCACTGCAATCTCTGCCTCCTGGGTTCAAACAATTATCATGCCTCAGCCTCCCGAGTAGCTGGGATTACAGGCACATGCCACCATGCTCAGCTAATTTTTGTATTTTTTTTAGTAGAGATGGGGTTTCACCATGTTGGCCAGGCTGACCTTGAACTCCTGACCTCAAATGATCTGCCTGCCTCGGCCTCCCAAAGTGCTGGGATTACAGGCGTGAGCCACCGTGCCTGGCCCAGTATTCTGAGCTTTCAATCCATAGACTCACTCAGAAGAAAAGGCCTTCCCTCTGTTCTTTTATCTGTTAGTGCTGGTTGGCAACTATCCAGATCGTAGCACTATTTTCCTTGAAATATGGGACCAGACTGCAGAATATTGGGTGGAAGCTGACAGATCATACTTGCTAGATGTTAAATTATAATATTAATTAAATTACACAGTAAAACTTCTAGAAGTTGTATATGCTATTTGCTTCTATTTTCACCTCCTTGCCCCCCTCATTTGCTCCTCAGTCTATTCCAAACTGCTTCTGTTCACATGTCACTGACTGCCAAGTTCATCCAGGACCTTCAAATGATAAACCCCATGGGTGTTTCCTGTGCTCTCCTCCACTCAACTCCCATTTACATTTGATATAGCCAAGCACTCCTTCCTTCACAGAACCCTCTCTTCTACAGTGTTTTAGGACACTGTCTTACTATACTGGCATCACATTCTCAGTGACCTGTGCCAGTTCCTCATTTTCTATCTCAGCTCGCACTAAGAGAATCCCTCAGGGCCTGCCCTCTGTTTCTCCACACTCTGTCTGAGAGTCTCATGTGCTTACCTTGGTTTAAGGGTTGCCGCCATGCTGATGCATCCATGTTCATATGTTCATTTCACAGTCTCTGTGGGTTTTACAGACTTGTATCTAATTGCCTTGAAATCTCCACTTGAAAGTCTTAGATATACAAACTAACATGTCCAAAATATAACTTCTTCTTTTAAAAATGAATACTTTACAGATTCTGAGAAGGGCTGCCTATGGCTTTGAATTAGAGGACTGCTATTTTTATGGATATTTTGGGGAAGTAGGAAGCGAAAGAAGACTGAGTGCCCGACTATGTGATACCAGGTGACCTTGCAATGAAAACTGTTGATCATAAACTGAGTATTTCACTGTCACTTTACTGGAAAGTAGAGATGATGCAAGTTGATGATTCACATTTTGCCCTGAAGGTAACCAGATTAGCCAGATGGTAAGGAGTTTGACAAGAGTATTACTGGAGGACAGAAAGGCACAAGTTTTAGGTGGATGAACTCTTAGAACAGTGCCAGAATAAAAGGCTACCTGTATTTCACGAAGATTCGTGACAAAAAGTTAAGAGCATTGTGCAATATGCTGGTAATGATCAAATGGGCAAAATAACCACCTCTTAGGATATCGGACAGCCTCCTTCCCAGGCCACAGTGTTTTATGCAATAGGTTATGTACTCAGTGGCCAAAGTAAAAGAGATGAAAATTATGCATGGGTGAAACATAAACTTCCTTTTCCTCACGAAGGCCCAGCTATTGCTACTGCTCAGTGCCTAATATGCCAACAGTGGAAACACTGGGCCCATAATAAAGTATCTTACCCCTGAAACCAGACAGTTATCTGGTGGTGAGAAGATTATACTGGACCTTCTGTATCACTGAGGAGACACGTATTCATCTCTGTAAGAACAGGCACTTACTTTGGATTTTAATTCTCTTTTCCTACCAAACATGGTTCTGCTAGTAGCCTCAAGGGTAGAATTACTGAATGCCTTATACATCATGACGATACCCTGTATAATAATGTTTCTGTCTGAGGAACTCACTTCATAAAGGAAAAGGTAAGACAATAGGATGATGCCATTGAATGCACTGGTCTTATTATGTTCTCATTAATAGAAAGAGCTGGTTTTATAGATTAAAGATTCAGAATGGCAGCTGGGAGGCAATACCTGGGAAAGGTTGGGGTACTATCCTGCAGGATGAGGTGTAGCCTCTGAACTAGTAATCATCAATGATGCTATTTGTTCTATTGCCAGAATATATGGTTCCAGGAACCAAGTACTCAAGGTGTGTGGATGTCTTTTGAAATCACAGACAAAAAACCACTTGAAAACTTTTGCCTTCTCTTCCCTATAACTCTAGCTTTGCTAGTTCGGAGGCTTATTATCAAAAGGATTAACAGTTTACTTGGAAACTGAAACAGCCACATGACCACTTCAGGCTCTCAGGTTCTTGGATGAACAAACAAAATGTGGTCTCAGTATAGTCTGGGAAACTTATCCTGATGAAGAAATTGGGCTATTTTTTTATAATAAGGGGAGAGAAATTTGGATAGAACATAAATAAATCTGACACTACTGTATCCATTTGAAAAATTAATTAAAGATTTTACAATCCTATATATTAACCATATATAAAATTGCAATTTTCAATCTATCAAGAATGTATGCTTTTGGTCACTCCACTGGATAAAGAGTCTTGATTAGCTTCATGACTGGTTGAAGAAAAAATGTACAGATGATGTATGGTAGAGAAAATGAATCATAAATATCTATTTGGCCCCCTGGCTAGTTGCAGAAATACAGAGTGGTCTCTAATCATTTTCTCTTGCTGTCTTATATATCAACATATTTTAACTAATATATTTAAACTAATTTTATTCCTCTTCCCTCTTTCTATCCTCTTTTACTGTAGAATACGGCATTAGTTAGCTGTAACTTTATAATCTAGTCCACTGACTAGAGAATACTGAGATGGGCTTGCAAAAGAACTAGAGGGTGACTAGATACAAGCAAGAGATCTAGGACTAAGTGCTAAATGGAGTTGACGAAATTTTTACTTGTCTTTCCTTGGAGAGGGATGAGTGGATTTGGGTTAAATGAAGGAGACCTTGCATTGCTAGAAAAAAAATTTTTTAATTAAATGTAGGTATAGGAAAAGTAGTGTATGTATGAGTTTGAGGAGTGAAAGGGCCATAGTGGACCTTTGTTGTTTATGGGCAGCCAGTATCTGAATGTCACCTCCTATGAGAGAAGCCAAAGAAGGGAGATTCCTTTTTTCTGCTGCATACCAGAGATGGAAACTCAGGCATTCAACTCTTTCTATCTTGACTTGAAGCTTGAGAGAATGATGCAAAGACCTAATAATAGCTTGAGGTTAGTGGCAGAAGTAGCAAAATCCAGGTCACATGGTAGCATATACCCATAAACTTTTGAAACCACTGCAATAAGGATTCCTAATGACAATATGGAAAGGTATTTCCTTTGGGGTTTCCTGATGCAGTATAACTTTACATCAATGATACACTTGAAGGTGTCTTTCTGCTTCCTAATACTTTGAAACTATACTGGATTAAGAAGATAGATGAATAACTCTTTTTGCCTTTGCCAATAAATTAATGAGAACACATATACTCTTCTTAGTCATATTCTCTCTCTAGCCTCTTGTGATCTACCCTAGCTTTCTTTATTCTCCATGCCCCCAGCCCAAATATCTATAGACAGTTCTTGACTTAAGGTCACTGAACAGCAGAATAATTTGAATGCTGTTCTATGCCAGACACACTGCTTCATAGTTGCCGGGATAACTGCTGCTGTGCTTCCTCTGAATGCTCAAGTTGTCAACACTAGAGTCTTAACCAATTACCCATGTCCTGCCACAGAACATCAATTTAACACTACACAAGGAGCAGCAATGGAAGCAACCGCTAAGCTTCCAGCCCAGAATATTACGGAAAGTAACCCACACAAAGATTAAAATGTTAAAAAGTTTTCCTATTAATTATTTAGGGCTAATTATTTAAGGGTTCAACAACTAAAACACCTGCTTTATAGTATGCTTCAGTATAATCACACTGAATTTACATAGTAATCAGCTGTAAACCCTCTGAAATTTTCATTTTAAAGGTGATTGCTTTTAGAATCAGTACTAAAACAAAGCATAGTTTGCCTTATTCTTCAGATGGGCGCGGTGAAACAAAATGGAATCAACCCAAATGCCCATCAGTGATAGACTGGATAAAGAAAATGTGGTACATATATACCATGGAATACTATGCAGCCATGAAAAGAAATGAGATCATGTCCTTTGCAGGGGCATGGATGGAGCTGGAAGCTGTTATCCTCAGCAAACTAATGCAGGAACAGAAAACCAAATGGAAATGACATAATATTTCTAGCTGTCCTATTTTATCACACATTTAAATAAATAGTACATTTATAACAAATATTTATGTTAATAAATACAATAATAAAACTAACAGATTTAACTTTCAGAGTCTACAAGGAACTTAAACAAATTTACATGAAAAAAAGAACCCCACTAAAAAGTGGGCAAAGGATATGAACAGATACTTCTCAAAAGAAGACATTAATGTGGTCAACAAACATATGAAAAAAGGCTCAGCATCACTGATCATTAGAGAAATGCAAAGCAAAACCATAGTGAGGTACCATCTCACATCAGTCAGAATGGCAATTATTAAAAAGTCCAGAAACAATAGATGCAGGCAAGGTTGTGGAGAAAAAGTAACACTTTTACACTGTTGGTGAGAATGTAAATTAGTTCAACCATTGTGGAAGACCGTGTGGCAATTCCTCAAGGATCTAGAGGCAGAAATATCATCTGACCCAGAAATCCCATTACTGGGCATATACCCAAAGGAATAGAAATCGTTCTATTATAAAGATACGTGCACACGTATGTTCACTGTAGCACTATTCACAATAGCAAAGACATGGAATCAACCCAAATGCCCATCAGTGATAGACTGGATAAAGAAAATGTGGTACATATATACCATGGAATACTATGCAGCCATGAAAAGAAATGAGATCATGTCCTTTGCAGGGGCATGGATGGAGCTGGAAGCTGTTATCCTCAGCAAACTAATGCAGGAACAGAAAACCAAACACCCCATGTTCTCACTTATAAGTGGGAGCTGAAAAATGAGAACACATGGACATACGGGGGGAACTACACTGGGGCCTGTTGAGGATGGTGGGAGGGAGAATATCAGGAAGAACAGCTAATGGATGCTGGGCTTAATACCTAGGTGATGGATTGATCTGTGCAGCAAACCACCATGACACATGTTCACCTATTGATATGGTTAGGCTTTGTGACCCTAACCCAAATCTCATCGTTAACTGTAATCCCCATAATCCCCACATGTTACGGGAGAGACCAGGTGGAGGTAATTGAATCATGGGGGCCGTTTCCCCGATGCTGTTGTCATGATAGAGAGAGTTCTCACAAGATCTGATCGTTTTATACCGGGCTCTTCCCCTTTTGCTCAGCACTTCCACTACCTGCCACCTTGTGAGGTAGGGGTCTTGCTTCCCCTTCCCCTTCCACCATGATGGTAAGTTTCCTGAAACCTCCCCAGCCATGCTGAACTGTGAGTCAATTAAACCTCTTTCCTTTATAAATTACCCAGTCTTGGGTAGTTCTTTATAGCAGTATGAAAACAGACTAATACACCTATGTAACAAACCTGCACATCCTGTTTATATACCCCAGAACTTAAAATAAAAGTTGAAGAAAAAAATATAAAAATAATACAATTATAACAAATATTTGTTAATAAATACAATAATAAATTTATAATAAAATAAATATTCTAGGTATCCTATTTTAGCAGTGAAAAATCTACAACAGCAGAAACCACGAGAGTATATTCTATAGTTTCTACCTAGCCTTGTGGATAAAGTTTTCTGCCGATAAAAAAAATATGAAACAGAGAAGGAATTCTACACAAAGTCTGAGCTAACTACAATTCTTTAGGTCTCATATATTAAAATTAACAACAACAACAAAAAGAAACACAGTGGAAGTGTACACTGTGATAATGCACAATGTCTATATACTTTAAGCAAACATCCCAAAGTGTGTTTGGTAGGTTTGTACATTGTATCTTGACTTCAAAGAAAAGTGTCCATTTGGAAGACTTTTAGGATAACATATAAAATAAAATTAAGCCTAGAGAGATACCACACATAAACTGAGTCATCAATATTTTGTATATCTATTTTTCATCATTTGCCTCCTAAGTTATGATACTACCTTAGACACAACAGGATGATTATTCAGATATCAATTAAATAATACAGGATAAAAAAATCTTTTATCAACATTACTTTGAACATAAATTATTTTCTTAAATATCTGGTATACCCATACAAGTAACATTAAGTAAATAAAGATAAAATTTAAAAGATAAAATGATCGCTATTACTCTACTTCAAGCAGTCATTTGATAGCCTGCATATTAAGCTAATTTATGAGTCTGTTAGTGAATAAGGTCATCTATAGAACTAAGCAAAAACATTCTGAAATATCAGTTAACTATTACACAATAATGTAATACATACAGTACTATCTAACAGTCCTACTAACTCTAAATGAGTCATGAGAAGTAGAAGGGGAGAAATATGCAAACTGTTAATCCTGGGCACCAGTGGATTTGGAACATTGTTTTTTACTGATGCCGAACAGCACTGCTCTTCTTTAGCCTGCATGAGATTACAAAGTGGGAACACTGAAGAGGGTTGGTGGAGAGATCACAATGCAACAATTATCTACTGATTTCATCTGTTTTCATTGTAACTCAATTTAGGAAAATATTTTTCAAAACTGGAAAAGTGTAAGAAAGAACAATCACTATATATTAAATCTATAGAGAGGAGGAGGAATATCTATATTTAGATGTAGTATAAAGAATCATAAAGGATCATACTAACAAACTGGATTACATAAAATGCAAAGTCTTCTATTTGTAAAAAGACACCATGATATTGTTCTCACTCACAGGTGGGAATTGAACAATGAGAACACATGGACACAGGAAGGGGAACATCACATACCAGGGCCTGTTGTGGGGTGGGAGGAGGGGGGAGGGATAGCATTTGGAGATATACCTAATGTTAAATGACGAGTTACTGGGTGCAGCACACCAACATGGCACATGTATACATATGTAACTAACCTGCACGTTGTACACATGTACCCTAAAACTTAAAGTATAATAATAAAAAAAAAGACACCATGAAAAAAAGACAAGCAATAAACTAGCAAAGTTACCTAATACAGCAGGTGAAAGATTAATATGTATATATGTATAGAAATACACATATATGAAGAAAAGTAATCTATAAAATTTTATATATGTATATATTTTTCTAAATTTGGCAAAGCTCTCACACAAATCTACAAAATAAATGCTGTCCTGGAATAGATGAAAGACCAAAAGAAATGAAGAGACAACAAATAAAAAAGAAGACAACTAGTAAATATATGAAAAAAAAATGTTCAACCAATCAAAAATGAAGGCATACATTAAGGTAAGATAATATTTTATCTATAATATATCAATAAGTTGCAACAAATGAGGATGTAGTAAAACTGTTACTCTCATATATTTCTGATAATTCATACATCAGTGGTGATGACACCAATAAGTACAGTTCTTTTGGAAAGTAATTAGCAGTGTACCTGAAAAGCTGTAAAAATATTCACATTATTTGACCCACTGATTTTCTTTTTAGAACTCTATACTGAGAAAATAATTTTAAACAGAGAAAAATCTACAATAATAAGGATGCATGATTATTAAATTACAGGAGAAAACCACTATGAAATAGTTGCATAATGGAATATAACTGCATAGACACAAAAATTCTAATTTAAAATTTTACTGGTGGTTATTACTTAGGGAAAGGATAATAACAGGTTTTAAATTTTTATATATTAGTGCTTCCTAAAATTAAAAAAAGATTATTATATATTTTTTAAAACCCAAATTTTGCAAAATTGATTTTAACTTCAGTAAGGGCAGTGAATACTTAAAGAATATGAAAATGATTGAATGTTACAATATACACAGGTGATAACGTTAAAGGAAAAAATTATAAATATGAATATACAAAATAAATATTAAGTGGGACTATAGTAGAACAAACTATAACAGAATATTAATAGTGTGGTAAGGTGGCGGTATTATGAATTTCTTCTTTCCCTATAATACAATTACATATGTAATGATCATTCTAATATAATACAACCTGAAACGTGTAAGTAGTAGAAGATAAAATATGTTGCTTACCTCTCTTTCATCCATGTTTAACCACTGCTTTGGATCTTCTTCAGTAGCCAGGAAGGCGATCAATTCCAAAGCAGTAAGACGAGTTTGACGTCTTGATGAGACAAATATCAAAACAGGTTTGGCTGGAGAATGGCTTCTAATTGCTGTTGAAAAGTTGTGGGAAATAAAATGGAAAGATACTTAACCCCAGAATATGAATTTCATTAGGATATCAAATGGATACATGAAAACTAATGATGTAAACAATTTAGGCATGAAATGTGGCATTATTGCAGGTACTACATGGATCTGGCAGCATATTAGACAGATAATAGGAAAAGAAAGGTTGATGGCCCTACCTAGAGAGTATATTGCCTAGGAGAGAAAAGATTTAATTATGCTGGGTCCAAGTTCTATTCTGAGTTGCCAAGGAAGGAGAAACTTAAAGACTGAGACTCTCCATTAAGAGCTATACATGGACACTAAATCTTAGATTGAGTTTTCTGTACTAAGTTGTGTTTCTCAGCTATTTGTGTTTGCCTAAGCAGTGATATTACAGAGTTAACTGGTCCTGGGGTCTGGTGAGAAAATCAAGTCCTGTCAAGTGACGGAAAATGTCTAGAAAGACCACAAAAAGTTTCTTTTATTTTTGTTATCAGTGATAGAAAAATTAGGAGAAGTTTGTACCAGTAAACAGGTTAAGAGATAAATCAGAAGAAAGTTTTCCCTCCATTTTTTTTTAAAAGCATATGTGTGAGAAAGGCAGACAAGATAACGTAGAAGAGGGCTGAAGAGAATACTATGCCTGAATGAGTATCTGAGTAATGGGACATGGTAGTCAACACAAAGAAGATGAGATGACTCTGGTCAACACAAACCAGAGTAACAAGACTGAAGTAAATTTTGTAAATCAAATCTTTAAAAATAATTAAAGAGCCACATAAATCACTTGGCTTATCTTGAAATGAGGTTTTTTGTTTGTTTGTTTGTTTGTTTTTTGCTTTACATAGGCTCCAAAAAGCTGATAAGATGCCACGAGTAGAATATATATTTAGGTCTACACAACTCTCTTAAAACAGTCAGAGATATTTAAAAATTTTATATAAAAAGTTCAACCTCTTTGTAATTTCTTGTTTGAAATGTGAGCTGCAGAATTTCTTTTTATGGGCTGGGAAACAAGGTTTATAATGGAAATGTTGACATGACCTTGACTTTATTTACATCCTAACTATGAGAAATAAAGCTATCACACAATCATATTTCTAAACTCAAAGAAATATAGTAATCACTACAGGTATAATAAATAGTACATAAGTATAGCTGCTGTGCTGATACCATTTCTATGGAAGTGTAAGTACTTTAGTTATTTACTATTGATTTATATAAGACAAAATACTTCCTTTCCATCAATGGTATGCAGTCATTCCATATAGATATATGCAATTTCAACAATATATATTATGAAAAATAAACTCATTTATCTTATTTCTCACCCTTTTATTGTTTATCAGAATGTTACAGAATGTAAATGATAAAGCTTTGATAAATCATATTAGAGATACACCATTTAAAATACACATATTAGTACAATATTGATATCATTTGGACACATAAATATAAATGGATCTCTTGTCTTTCTTTAAACCTCAACATCTAATGGATTTTTGCTGCTGAAAGAACAGGTGTGGCTGAACAGCTCACGGCAGATTTATTGTTCATTAGTGATTTTGTACAATGCTTCTGTGGAGGTGTAAATAATCTGAACTGCCAAGATTGGTCTCTAGTTCACAATCAATACTTTGCTTCTGTCATAAGGCTAATTACAGCAGCTAAAAAGTCACCTCACAACTGTCACCACACAATCAACAGCAGCTCACATTTGAGAATTTATTTTTGAGGTTATTTTTAATTGATATAATAAATATTCTTTATGCAGCCCAAATAAAACATGTTTCAATAAAATAGGAGTGCTATTCTTAAATCTTTCCTGTTTGCCTAATTTGTTAGAAGAGGAAAAACTAAAAACAGAAGCACTGTACTAAAGTACTGAAATTTCTAAGTTTTATGATTTCTCATAAAAATGATTATGAGATGTTTTTGACCTGTAGCTTCCATTTCTCATCTGTCCAAGCTACTATCATAAAAACACTTTGATTAATATTAAGAAAACTCTGATAACTTTTTTTAATTACATACTTTTATTCAACTACAAAGTCATTACCATTTGTGAAATCGCTCCAATCTTCACTAGGTAATTTAACATATATTTGTATTCCTTAACAGTTGAGACAAACAGTTTTAGATATACGTAGAAGCTGGACCAGTATCATCCTTTCAAAGAAACCAACACCAATTAGAAGATATTTGATAGCTACCATAAACAATGGTTACTATTTTATTCCAAGAATCTGAAGCTTACCCTGAAATGCAGGCTTGTTCATACTAGCCATACGAGGACAGTAATGTTGACCTGGAAAGCCTTGAATGTGAACTTCCAGTGGAACTGGGCGTACTGATGGTCGGAAGTTAAACAAGCCCATCTAGAGTAAATATGAGAGAGAAACCATTTTCAATTTTTATATTGAATTTTATAAGGTTATAATATCTCTTAAAAGGAATCATCAAAGTAACACTACTAAATAAATGCATAATTTATCAATCTTCTACATACCTGCTTAATATTGAGCCAATCAGCAAGGTCTCTGGCATTAGCTAATGCAGTAGATAGTCCAACTATTCTAACAGGCTTTTCTGTGTGTGATGAGATAAAATTTGTTCGAGATACAATGACCTCTAGAACAGGGCCTCTTTCCTCCCCTAGAAAATAGGGAAAAATCAATGTTAATCATTTAACAAGCCTGTGTTGGTCATTGCAGCAACCACAAAAGGAAGAGTTTGTAGCTTCCTCAAAAAACAAAAACAAAAAAAAAAACAAAAAAAAAGCTAAAGCTAGAACTACCAAAGGATTCTGCAATCCTACTCCCAGTGCATGATGTCACTTAGATGCTGAATTAAAAAAAACTGACCTCATGGAAGTAGAGTAGAAACGTGGTTACCAGAGTCTAGGGGCATGGGTTGGAGTCACAAGAGAAGGGAATAGAGAGTTGGTGGTCAAAGGGTACAATGTTTCAGTTGGACAGGAGAAATAAGTTTGTCAGATCAATTGTACAGCAGTGTGACAACAGTTAATAAAAATATATCATATATTTCAAAATTGCTAAATTGCAAAATTGCTAATTGCATGTTTAACTGTAATCTCCAATGTTGAAGGTGGGGCCTGGTAGGAGGTGATAGGATCATGGGGGCTGTTTCTCCTAAATGGCTTAGCACCATCCTCTTGGTGCTATTCTCATGACAGTGAGTGAATTCTCATGAGACCTAGTTGTTTAAAAGTGTGTAGCACCTCGCCCACCACCTTGCTCTCTTGTTCCTGCTCTTGCCATGTAAGAAGCTCTCTTCTGCTTTGCCTTCAGTCATGATTGAAAGCTTCCTGAGGCCTCCCCAGAAGCAGGAGCCACTACATTTACTGTACAAGCTGTAGAATCTTGAGCCAATTAAACCTCTTTTTAAAAATAAATTACCCAGTCTCAGGTATTTCTTTATGGCAATGTGAGCACAGATTAATACACTAAGAGAAAATTTTTTATGTTTCACCTCAATTTATATGTAAGGTGATAGATGTTAATTAGCTTGATTTAATAATTCCACATTATATACATACATCAAAAAATCACATTGTGCCCTAGAAATATATATAAATATTACATGCAAATTAAAAATACTAATAATTAATATTTTACAAAGTTAAAGTTTGTAAACTGGCTTTAGATACAGTGGTACCTACCAAGCAGATGGATCTCATCTATGATGAGAATAGTGACTTGCTGAACATAGTTCCTATTTTGCCAGCTTCTGCTGACTCCATCCCACTTCTCTGGCGTAGTGACGATAAGGTCAGCCTTGGCAATGGATTTCATATCAGGAGTCACATCCCCTGTTAGTTCAATAACTCTGGAGGGAAATATAACAATGATCCCAGAAACTTTTCAGGTAACAAATGACCTTGGAAATGCAAAAACCTATCTCTTTTAAAATAAAATTTTATAAGGCTTAAAATTACTTTATCTACCTTTGATTTTTGAAATTTTCCAAGTTGAGTCCAAAATGTACATTTCTTAAGAACTCTAAGAAAATTTCTTGCCATAAAATGAAGGTCATATAAATTCCAATCACTGACATATCTAACTTTTATACAGATATACAAGGATATCAAACTTTGCTTTAATTATGTTTATAGAAACTCCATCCTAGGTGATTTTATAAAGTTGAACTCATACTTCCTTGTCCCTATGTTGGAATAAAATTTTTTTTAATGAAGGAAAGTGTTACTTTATGGAGACAAAAAAAGGCATTCATTAAGAATATTTAGGATTATGTGTAAATTTAATTAAAATTATGTGTAATTTAGATTGTGTGCAAGCTCATTTCTTTCCTTAGATTGGAATTTTCTATAGATTTTATAGCCAAAATGAAATGTATTAGGATGAAAACAAGATAAGCCAGAGCAAATATGTACCAACTCATTATAAGCAGATCACAGTCATATAGTGAGAGAGAAGGAAAAGAAAAACCTATGTAGATCTAGAGGAATTACCTAAGAATTCCTAATTACATAGGATTAGCTCTGGGCTAACATCAAATTTTAAGTAATTACTAAAATAATTTCTTTTCTTTCTTTTTTTTTTGAGACAGAGTCTCATTTTGTCACCAAGGCTAGAGTGTAGTGGCTTGATCTCAGCTCACTGCAACCTCCACCTCCCGGGTTCAGGTGATTCTCCTGTCTCCAAGTAGCTGGGATTACAGGCATGCACCACCACCTCCAGCTCCTTTTTTATTTTTAGTAGAGATGGGGTTTCACTATGTCGGCCAGGCTGGTCTCCAACTCCTTTTCTCAGGTGATCACCCGCCTCAGCCTCCCAAAGTGCCAAGGTTACAGGCATGAGCCACCACGCCCAGCCTAATATAATTTCTAATCTGTGTTAAGACTTGGAAAATAAGAAAAAGGGCAAAATTTGTTCCTCTAAGCATAATGTTCACAAAGTATTTACCTATTCTTGTTTATTTTAAAGATTTACATTTTATATGTTATTTTGAATATGGACTATATTCACATGGTTCAAAGAATACAGGGAATGGTCTCCATAACATCCCTATCCTATAGACAGCTAGTTCTCATTCTGAAAAGAACCACATGTTCATATTCTTTATCATTTTGAAAAAACATGAGCTAGGATACTTATATTTTTTTTTTGTTTTTTTTTTTTACATTATCTTTGGAGATCATTCTTTCCGTATAAAAAAATTCATATAGTTTTTTTTACAGAGTAATACAATATTTTACATTGTGTGAATGTACTATAATTTACTTACTGATGCTCTACTGGAAATTCGTTTCTCTGTAATCTTTTGCTATTTAAAATAATACTGCAATGAATAACCTTGTAGTATATTAAATTATTAATGAAAAAAACCCCACATCATGTTTTTCAAAGAACTTCTGCTTTTTTACAAATAATTTACATGCAAAATGCCTTCTAAGCAGTTTCTGGAAGCTACTCTGCAAAATACGAAAAAAATAGAGAGGCAGAACTTATTTTTGTTTTGTTTTAGAGTGAAAATATTTTGAAAAAGTTATCCTGCCAAATAAAAGTACTCACATTAAGTAATTTAGGAGATTTCATTTTCAATCTTAAAACAATGGGAATATTGATATCATTTTAATAGTAGGTACATATCTTTAAATAAATGACTATGAAAATCAATGTAAAACCATTCAGCAGTTAAATAAAAGACTATGAAAATCACTGTAAAACCATTCAACAGTTTTATTCAACTCTTATTTCCTGGTCCTTTTAGTCAATTCAAAGCGTATCTTTTGAGTAAAAGTAAGAACTTACTTTTTACCAAGTTTTTCTTCTATTCTAACTTTCCAATCATCCATTCTTTCACGTACTAGGGCTTTTAGGGGTGCAATATATACCGCCTAAAAAGGGGAGAATAGCCAAAAATACTCTTATGAAAATAGTGATAGCATTTTGAAATAAAAGTAAACTCCAAAAAATTTGTCAAAATATGACAGTGTGGTTTGAAAATGTATCTTTTAATTCTGAATACTCAAATTTTTAAATCAACGGGAAAAAGTCATTAACTCAAACTACATTTACCCAAAATAAGACAGAAATGTAACATATCACAAACATTCTATTCATAAAAAATATTAACATAGATGAATTTAAATTACTTTTAAAAAAGCATCAGAGGTATTTTCCTCAGGCATTTTACTATGAAATTATATTCTACATAATAAAAACAAAACAAATTATGAGATAATACACTATAAGAGAAAATTAGGGTTCTGATAAAAAATTTTTTCTATTATTATGATTAATATTTATTTGAGTTGTATGTAACTCATGAATAAATGTACTGATGTTGAAGTTTTGAAGAGAAATAAACTATTGTTTAAATTTTAATGCAGATTTTATGAAGATGCTAGTAGTATAATTCAGGTTTCAAAAAAATAAATAAAAGCTGGTCTATAGTAATCCAAACCTATACAAAATGTATTCCCTTTATGTTTCTAATTTAGAGTAGAGCTCTACTGTTATATTAACATGTCTCTATAGATCAATAACCACATATTAGAGAGACTGAAAAGTAGGAAAACTTAGGGTTAAGTAGGGAAGAAAAGCCACTAATTAGGAAACACTACAAAAGGATGCTAAGACATTCCTGAAATCATAAATGATGAAGAAACTAGCCCATAATTCCAATCACAACATCTCTGTAAATGTTTCTATTTTAGTGTGATGTACTCACAAAATTAAGAACAAGAAAACTCTAAATACTACATAAAAAAACTGTTAGAATTAATAAACAAATTCAATACGCTTGAAGGACACAAAGTCAACATATATAAACCAGTAGAATATATACTGTTAGCAAACTATCTAAAAAAAAAAAAAAAAAAAAGAAGACAGTCCCACTTACAATAGCACCAGAAAGAATAAAGTACTTAGGAATAAAGTTAACTAAAGAGGTAAAAAATCTGTACAATGAAAACTATAAAACATTGAAGAGAAACTGAAGAAAAGACAAATAAATGAGAAGATATCCCATGATCATGGACTGGAATAATTAATATTGTTGAAATGGTCATACAACCCAAAGCAATCTTCAGTTTAAATGCAATCCTTATCAGAATTCTAATGGCATTTTTCACAGAAATAGAAAAAAAAAATCCTAGAATTCACAAGGAAGCACAGAGACCTTGAATAGCCAAAGCAATTTTAAGAAAGAAAACCAGTCAGACGCATCACATTTCCTGGTTTCAAATTATATTACAAAGCTACAGTAATCATAACAGTGTGGAAGTATGGACCTGACATAAAAAGAGGCACACAGACCAGTGGAACAGAAAAGAGCCCAGAAATCAACCCACACAAACAAGGTCAACTAATCTTCAACAAGGGCCTAAAGCATACATACAATAAGCAAAAGATATTCTCTTCTATGAATGATGTTGGGAAGACTGTATATTCACATGTAAAAGAACTACTGCCATACACCATATACAAAAATTAACTCACAATGGATTAAATAATTAAATATAAGATCTAAAACTACAAAATTCTTAGAAGAAAACATAAGGAAAAAGCTCCTCGATGTTGGTCTTGGCGATGATTTTTGGGACATGGCATCAAAAGCAAAAATAAACAAATAGGTGTACAACAAACTAAAAAGCTTCTACATGGAAAATAAATAAATAAATAAAATCAACAGAGAGACAATGTGAAATGAAAGAAATGACAAAACGAAAGAAAATATTTGCAAACCATATACACTAGTTCTGTCTTAATGCCTTCCCTTTCCACGCTTCCAATTACTTGTAGTCAATTGTGGTCCAAAAATGTTAAATGAAAAATTCTAGAAATAATTCATAAGCTTTAAATTATGTACCCTTCTAAGTAGCATGATGGAATCTCACACTGTCCCACTCAATTCAGCCTGGAACATGAATCATCCCTTTGTCCAGAGTATTCAGGCTGTAGCCACTCCCCAAACACTAGTCACTTAGTAACTGTCTTGTTTACTAGAAAGACTGTGGCAGTATCACGGTGCTTTTGTACAAGTAGCCCTTACATTACTTAGTAATGGCCCCAAAGCACAAGAGTAGTGATACTGGCAACTCGGATTTGCCAAGGAGAAGACAAAGTGTTTCAAGTGAAAAGATGAAAGTTCTTGACTTAATAAAAGAAAAAAAAATCATATGCCGAGACTGCTAAGATCTGTGGTAAGAACAAACATTCTATCTGTGAAATCATAAGAAGGAAATCATAAGAAATTTGTGCCAGGCTGGGTGCGGTTGCTCAGGCCTGTAATCCCAGCACTTTGGGAGGCGAAGGTGGGCGGATCACCTAAGGTCAGGAGTTTCAGACCAGCCTGATCAACATGGAGAAACCCCGTCACTACTAAAAAAAAAAAAATACAAAAATTAGCCAGGCGTGGTGGCTCATGCCTGTAATCCCAGCTACTCGGGAGACTGAGGCAGAAGAATCGCTTGAATCCGGGAGATGGAGGTTGCGGTAAGCCGAGTTTGCGCCATTGCACTCCAGCAGCCTGGGCAACGAGAGCAAAACTCCGTCTCAAAAAAAAAAAAGAAAAAAGAAATTTGTGCCAGTTTTGATGTTGAACCTTAAGCTGCAAAAATTATGGCCACAGTACACGATAAGTGCTTGGTTAAGATGGAAAAGGTATTAAATTTGTGGGTGGAAAACATGAATAAAATGTGTTTTTTAAATTTTAGTACACTTTTCTTAAGTACATATTTATAAAGAACATAGTATTGCACTACTATACCATTTCTTGTTTTACTTTTTATTTGTTTTTACTTAACACATAATAATTGCACATATTTATGGGATACATAGTGATGTTTTGATACATATAATGTATAGTGATCAGATCAGGGTAATTAGCATATCCATCATCTCAAACATTTATCATTTCTTTGTGTTGGGAACCTTCAATATCCTTCTTCTAGCTATGTGAAACCACATTATATATTATTGTTAACTACAGTCCTTCTACAGTCGTATACAACACTAGAATTTATTCTTTCTATTCGGCTGTAATTTTGCATCCTTTAACCATCCTCTCCTTATCTCTCCCTTCCCCCTACCCAAATGGGTTCAGTACCATCAGGTTGCAGGCATCCATCGGGGTTTTGGAATGTATCACCTGAGGATAAGCGGGGACTAAATATCTAATAAAAAGTTATAATCCAAAATAGAAACTTACACAACTCAATAGCAGATAAACCCAAATTATTCAATTAAAAATGGGCAAAATATCTGAATACATATTTTTTTCCAAAAGAAAACACACAAATGGCCATTGGATACATGAAAAGGTGCTCAATATAACATCATCAAGGAAATGCAAATTAAAATCACAATAAGATATCAATTTACACCTGTTAAAATGGCTATTACCAAAAGACAAAAGACAGCCGGGCATGTGGCACAAACCTGTAGTCCCAGCTACTCAGGAGGCTGAGGCAGGAGGATTGCTTGAGCCCAGAAGTTCAAGGCCAGTCTGGGCAACACAGCGAGACCCCATCTCCTCAAAAAACAAAAAAAAAAAAAAAAAAGAAAAGAAAAAAGAAAAAAATAACACACATGTAGGTGAGGATGTGGAGAAAAGGTAACTGTTACTGTACATGATTGGTGGTAATGTAAACTGTACAGCCATTATGGAAGACAATCTGGAATTTCTTTAAAAATTAAGCATAGAACTATCCAGCAATCCCACTTTTGGGTATATATCCAAAGGAAATGAGATCAGTATCTTAAAGAGATATCTGCACTCCCATGTTCATTGCAGCTTTACTTTGAATAGCCCAAATATGGAAACAATCTAAGTGCCTCAAGATAGATAAAGAAATTGTAATATATATATGTGTGTGTGTATATATATATATGTGATATATATGTACACACACACACACAATGAAATATTATTCAGCTTTAAAGAAGAATGAAATCAGCCATTTTCAACAATATAGATGAACCCAAGGGACATTATGTTAAGTGAAATACGCCAGACATAGAAAGAAAAATACTGCATAACTTCACTTACACATGGAATTTTTAAAAGTTGGATTCATAGAAGGAAAGAGTAGGATATTGGTTACCAGCGGTGAGGATGGGGGAATGAGGAGATACTGGTCAACAGGTATAAAGTTTCATTTATGATGAATGAATAAGTACTAGACACCTAATATACAGCATGGTGATTACAGTTAATAGCACTGCATTATATACTTGAAATTTGCTAAGAGAATAGATTTTATGTGTTCTCATCACAAAAAAGATAACTATTTGAAGTGATAGGTATGTTAATTAGCTTGACTGTAGTAATCACTTGACAATGTATATCAAAACATCACATTGTATACCTTAAATATACATAATTTTTATTAAAAATAATATATACTAGGAAAGAGTTAAAAAATTATGCTTCAAGAAAGCTTTAAAGCAATACTTACTTGACTTGTAATGTATTTGATATTAAATAATATCATGGCCATTTGTAGAAGTCATATAAAAGCTACTCTATATTTAATATGTATAATCAAACTATATTAAAGCACTAGCATTTTCTTCATACAGAAAAGATTTGATTATGAATTACTTTGTATTGTTTAACTTTGCCTATGAAGTGGGTTTCTCACAGTGAAATTATCTATGAATTGTAGAAATCTTACAATGAGGAAAGGATTTGTGTGTCACTACATACATTAGAAATTCAACTGGAGGACTACAAAGTTTAAGGTAAATTTTCTTGCTGCAAATTATCCTAATATGGGCATAGCTCATTTTACTGCACTTTGCGGATATTGTTTTTTTACAAATTGGAGGTTTGTGGCAACCCCACATCGAGCAATTCTATCAAAAGCAATTCTATTGATTTTTCCAACAGTATGTGTTCACTTCATGCCTCTGTTACGTTTTGGTAATTCTACCAATATTTCTAACTTTTTCTGTATTATTATATCGGTTATGGTGATCTGTGGTCGGTGATCTTTTATGTTATCATTGTAATTGTTTTGTAGTGTCATGAACTACACCATATAAGATGACAAACTTAATTGATAATTGTGTGTGTTCTAACTTCTCCACTGACCAGCCATTCCCCCATCTCTTTCCTTCTCCTCAGGCCTCCTTCTTCCCTAAGACACAACAATATTGAAATTAGGTCAATTAATAACCCTACAATAGCCTCTAAATGTTCGAGTGAAAGGAAGAGTTGCATGTCTCTCACTTTAAATCAAAAGCTAGAAATGATTAAGCTTAGGGAGGAAGGCATGTCGAAAGCTGAGATAGGCCAAAAAGCTAGGCCTCTTAATACCAAGGAGTTAGCCAAGTTTTGAATGCAAAGGACAAGTTCTTGAAGGAAATGAAAAGTGCTACTTCATTGAACACATGAATGATAAGAAAGTGAAAGTTTTATTCCCGATACGGAGAAAGTCCGAGTGGTGTAGACAGAAGATCAAATCAACCACGATATTTCCATAACCTAAAGCCTACTCTAGAGCAAGCCCCAAATTCTCTTCAATTCTGTGAAGGCTGAGAGTGGTGAGGACACTCCAGAAGAAAAGTTTGAAGCTTGTTTCACATGGTTTAAAGAATTCACCTCTATGAAGTGCCAGGTGAAGCAGAAAGTGCTGATGTAGAAGCTGCAGCGAGTTATCTGGAAAATATAGCAAAGATAATTGATGAAGGTGGCTACAATAAACAACAGAGTTTTAATGTATACAAAATAGCCTAATATTGGAGGAGGATGTCATCAAGGACTTTCACAGGTAGAGAGGAGAAGTCAATGCCTGACTTCAAAGCTTCAAAGGAGGAGCTAACTTTCTTGTTAGGGACTAATGCAACTGGTGACTTGAAGTTGAAGCCAATGCTCATTTACCATTCTGAAAACTCTAGGGTCCTTAAGAATTATGCTAAATCACCTCTGCCTGTGCTCTATAAATGGAACAACAAAGCCTGGATGACAGCATATCTACTAAACAGCATGGTTTATTGAATATTTTAAGCCCACTGTTGAGACCTATTGCTTAGAAAAAAAGATTCCTTTCAAAATGTGACGCTCATTGACAATACATCTAATCACACTCCAAAGCTTTGATGGACATGTACAAAGAGATGAATGTTGTTTTCATGCCTGCTAACATAACATCTATTCTGTACTCCAGGGATATAGGGGTAATTTTGGCTTTCCTATCCTTTTACTTAAGAAATATGTTTCATAAGACCGTAGATAGTGATTCCTCTGATGGACCTGGGCAGAGTAAGTTGGAAATCTTCTGGAAAGAATTCACCATTCTAGATGCCATTAAGAACATTCATGATTCTTGGAAGGAGGTCAAAATATCAACATTAACAGGAGTTAGGAAGAAGTTGATTCCACCCTTCACGGACGACTGAGGGGTTCAAGACCTCAATAGGGAAAGGCACTGCAGATGTGGTGGAAACAGCAAGAGAACTAGAATTAGAAGTGGAGCCTGATGATATAACTGAATTGTTACAATCTCATGATTAAATGAACAGATGAGGAGTTGCTTCTCATGGATGAGCAAAGAAAAGGTGTTTCTTGCGATAGAATCTACTGACAAAGATACTGTGACCATTGCTGAAATGACAAAAAGGATTTAGAATATTACATAAACTTAGTTCAGAAAGCAGTGGCAGGGTTTGAGAGGGTTGACTCATTTTGAAAGACGTTCTATCGTGGGTAAAATGCTATCAGGCGGCATCACATGCTACAGAAAAATTTTTCATGAAAGGAAGAGTCAATCAATGTGGCAAACTTCATTGTCTTATTTTAAGAAATGACCACGGCTACTCCAACCTTCAGTAGCCACAACCATGATCAGTCAGCAGCCATCAACATTGAGGCAAAACCCTTCACTAGCAAAAAGATTAAGACTCACTATAAGGCTGAGATGATTGATAATATTTTTTAGTAATAAAGTATTTTCAAATTTAGCTATGTATATTTTTAGGCATAATGCTATTACACACTAATAGGCTATGGTATAGTATAAACAGAATTTTTATATGCACTAGGAATCCAAAAAATTTGTATGACTTGCTTTATTGTGACATTCACTATATTGTGGTAGTATATAACCAAACTCATGATATCTTCACGGTATATCTGTACTGATCTGGTCCCCTGGGAAATTCACTGAGAGTGACAAATCTATTCATTAGACCCTGCCAATATATTTAGAACTGTCTAGTTTAGAGATTATGAACTGTCTTTTCTAATTAAATGTAAGTATGATTCTTTCAACAGACCTTTGAAGTAGGGTATTTGTTGAAGACTCTGAAAATGGCTAATTCAGCTGCAACAGTCTTTCCCGATCCAGTAGGTGCTCCAAGTAGGACATTACAATCCGTGTGATACAATGTATGAAATATTTGTGTCTGTACAGGGTTAAAGTGGCTGAAGTTGTACAGGGCTTCATATGCTTTACATCCCAAAGCTGTGATTGGTAAAGGCTGAAGATCCAGTAATTCTGAAAAGACCCAACAGGATGGCTATACGACAATTGAAAAACACGCATAATACTGAATACTGTATTATAAATAATAGATTATAGTAATCCTTAGTTCCTTAGACAAGGAGAAAAAACACAAACTCTTATATACCCATTACAGATCTGGCATTTCAACAAATATGTCACGCAAGTAACCACATTTACCATATTGACATACTGGATGCTTTTCTGGGGGAGTGCCCTATAAGCCAACTATAATGCCATATCCTTCTTTTTCCAATCAGGAAAGTCATTTGAATAACAAGTATATGCATGTTATAGAACAAAACCTAAATCTGTCTCAAGTGGTAAAAAAATTAAAACCATTTGCAGACTTCAACACTGAAATGATTACTAACAACGAATTACTTTTGTTCTGTTAGACACTGACCAAGCAAGAGCAGTTGAGTTAACTATTGTTGTCAATGGAAAGTAAAATGAATTTAGGGTAATTCCAGGTAGAAAATTGGGTGGGAGTTTTAAAGCAAAGCATGACTGAGTAAACAAAACCTGCCCTGAGAAAACCTAGAAAGAAACTAGATTTAGTTGTTTCTTATTATGTGGATGGGAGGCCTAGGGAATTAGAAACAAAATAATTTAGAGAAACAGTTATACACCCTTGAATTCAACAGACCTTATATTTTCCATAATCCAGAAAGGTATCAGTTAGAAAACCAGAAGGCCACTTTACTCTCAAGATTATTTCATGAAAGATAAATCCAGTCATTTGAAATTTGAACAAGAAGAAATAATCCATAAGGTAACATAGTATTCTGTACCTTGAGTTAGATGTTCATGGTACTGTTTCAAAATGAAAGTATGGCAAATTTTCTTCTTAAAAAATGTCTTTAAAAGTCAAAAAATTAATTTAAAAAATTATCCTTTCCCCACTGCTCTATTCAGTTAATTACATAGGTAACTGAGGGCTAACGACATACTTTCTACACCAGACTGTAGGTTTCTTAAATTTTCTGAAGCACTGAAAATTGAGGCCGGGAGCGGTGGCTCAAGCCTGTAATCCTAGCACTTTGGGAGGCCGAAGCGGATGGATCACCTGAGGTCAGGAGTTCGAGAACAGCCTGGCCAACATGGCAAAACCCCATCTCTACTAAAAATACAAAAATTAACTGGGCGTGGTGGTGGGCGCCTGTAATCCCAGCTACTCGGGAGGCTGAGGCAGGAGAATCGCTTGAACCCGGCGAGTGGTGGTTGCAGTGAGCCCAGATCATCCCACTTCACTTCAGCCTGGGTGAAAGAGTGAAACTCTGTCTCACAAATAAAATAAAATGAATAAAAAATAATAGAGAAGGAAGGAGGGGAGGCATTGCAAGTTAATGCTTGTAATGCTAATCAAAGCCGAGATATGTTCTTAAAAAGACTAAAAAATAAATAAATAAATAAACTGCATATTGCATATTTACTGATGATGTTAAATTACAGTGCTTTACATTAGTGAAAGATGAAGGTTTTTCTTGGCTCATTTGGGCTCAATGATAATGACTATATATTCAAAGAGACCCTGGAATCATTGAGGTTACTTTGTATATGTCTAATATCAACTGAGATGTTATGGTGGTACATTTATTGTTTTTAAAATTGTAGTCAGAACTCAGCTAATTATATAAATAGGGTGATACATTCTTGGTCATTTGGCAGACAAAAGATAAAATGAACATTGAAATAGAATGTTAACGCAAGTTAAGATCAAGTGCTATACTCAAAGATTAATGATGTTTGAAGCATGTATTTTAAATTAAAGCACCAAACATTTTTTATATATTTTATTCTGAGATTCTAAATATTACATGTAGCACACTTGATGAAAGAAGACTGGAAAGATTCCCTTCAATGAGTAGATCACTAGATACTACAATCTCATTATTTTTCTATGTTGACAAGCCTTTTAGTTCTGTTCTGCCAAGATATCAAAGTGGAATTAAGCCAAAGTATAAAGTATCTCTCTTTAAGATAAGCTAAGATAATGAATAGGGTACACATTTGACAAAAATGGCAAAGTTTAAAGTCACATTAAGACCTCTTTCAATTCCCAAAGGACTGCCAAATAATGAGTTCATTAAAAGTAGTGAGGACTATATTTTTATTCTGAAAATGACAAAGGGTTTCTCTTTGGAAGAACCATATGAGAAAAAATATGGACTTTCATTTTTCTATAAATTAAGGCCCTCTTAAAATCAATTCTGAAAAAGAAGAAATAAACTTATTATACTAGTTAATTAACAGATTAGTTTAGGATTTTTTGAAATAGAGTATTTCATAGGGCACTTAAAAGTATCATTGTAAACATTTATTCCTGAAAAATCTGCTTCTATATTAAGTCAAAATAAAAAGGTATTTGTTCACGTCACCAAAATTTAAAATGGATTTTTGCAAGGTATGACAGTGAAAAACACTATTGTATGATGTTGAAGATTACCACGTACCCCTTTATAATGTTAGGGCAGAGGGATAAAACTAATATAAAGTGTTCCTATTTCCCCACATCCTCTCCAGCACCTGTTGTTTCCTGACTTTTTAATGATCGCCATTCTAACTGGTGTGAGATGGTATCTCACTGTGGTTTTGATTGGCATTTCTCTGATGGCCAGTGATGATGCACATTTTTTCATGTGTCTGTTGGCTGCATAAATGTCTTCTTTTGAGAAGTGTCTGTTCATATCCTTTGCCCACTTGTTGATGGGGTTTTTTATTTTACACTGTTGGTGGGACTGTAAACTAGTTCAACCATTGTGGAAGTCAGTGTGGCGATTCCTCAGGGATCTAGAACTAGAAATACCATTTGACCCAGCCATCCCATTACTGGGTATATACACAAAGGATTATAAATCATGCTGCTATAAGGACACATGCACATGTATGTTTACTGCAGCACTATTCACAATAGCAAAGACTTGGAACCAACCCAAATGTCCAACGATGACAGACTGCATTAAGAAAATGTGGCACATATACACCATGGAATACTATGCAGCCATAGAAAGGATGAGTGCATGTCCTTTGTAGGAACATGGATGAAGCTGGAAACCATCATTCTCAGTAAACTATCGCAAGGACAAAAAACCAAACACCACGTGTTCTCACTCATAGGTGGGAATTCAACAATGAGAACACATGGACACAGGAAGGGAAACATCACACACCGCGGCCTGTTGCGGAGTGGGGGGAGGGGGGAGGGATAGCATTAGGTGATATACCTAATGTTAAATGACGAGTTAATAGGTGCAGCACGCCAACATGGCACATGTACACATATGTAACAAACCTGCACATTGTGCACATGTACCCTAAAAGTTAAAGTATTAAAAAAAAAAAAAACTAATATAAAGGGTAGATGTTATTTGCAGGACACAAACTCACTTGAGGTATGTGGAAATCCATTCCATAGTGATACCATAATATGATTCCTTAATATTAGCTTTTTTGTTTTTGGTGTAGAAACACAAAAGATGGGGGGAAATTCCCCATAACTCACTGGTATGTTAGTTAATTTAACATACTAGAAATAAGTTTAAGTAAACTGGAATAAACGCAAGGGAGAAAATAAAAGTTTTACAGAGAGAACAGATTAAATGATGAATGACAAATGAAATAAAAAGGGAGTTATAGAGAAGTTATAATGATTACAAGTAAAACTTTATTACGGTGTAGACATTTTTCAACATTAATTAAAACAACCATTTTGGAAAAATCAATGATTCAAATCAGCATTCACCATGTTACCTGTATGAGGAGGATGTCTCTCTGGTAGAATTAGATGTTGAAAGTTGATAATACATACTGCCTCAGCACCCAACCATCTATCAGACACTGCTCGGATGTAGTATTGGGAAGGCAAAGGCTCAAAAATAGGGATTGTAAATACCAGTAGTTGGGCTTCTTTACTAATGACCTAATATGAAATACAGTCAAAAATAAATATGGATATTCTAATAGCATAAAGGCCTTATTAGTCTATTGTTAAGATAACGGTATCTCTACAAGATATACTAAAGACAAAGTATCTTGAATTTGTAAATAGCTGAGATATTCGGAAACTTTAGAAAATTGTGCATGGTGCCCTTCTGAGGATACCTGATAGAAGGTAAAATTTTATGGCTAATTTATATTATTTACATATGCATATAATCATGTATTAACAAGTTACCAATTTGACTACCTGAATTTCCCAAACATCATTCATTCAATTACATAACTTCATGATTTTTACCTTACCGAATTACCATATTGTTTACTTAATATTTTTTGTTAAGTTCTATCAGTACCTAAAATGGAATACCGCAATCACTTGGTACAAATAGAAGGTAACCAAGCAGACAAAAGCAATGAATACAAAACGCTGCTATGAAATTCTACTGTTGCCTACCCAAGACTCTTACCTGAAGCTTGCTTTATCTTTGATAAAAACAGAAATTACGAATGAAGCATCAGTTAAAGAAATACCATCAAATTGAGTCTTTGTCTTGTGATTTATAAAGAAATTTAGAAGAAATGCTCTTTTAATCCAATAGTATTCAGTATTTTGTGCATGTGACCCTTAAGATTATTATTGATCCTACCTATTTTACATATTCTACACCTCTGGAACCCAGGTCTTAAACCATGGTAAAGATTATCCAGTCATGCATTGCTTAATGACAGGAATGGTTCTGAAAAATGTGTCATTACGTAATTTTGTCTTAAGAACATCATAGTGTACGTAGACAAGCCAGATGGTATAGCCTCCTAAATATCTAGGTTACATGGCAAAGCCTACTGCTCTTATACAGCATGTTACCATACAGCATGTTATTGTATTGAATATTTTAGGCAATTATAACACAATGGTACTTACCTATCTACACATATTTAAACCTAGAAAAAGTAGGTGAAAATACAGTATTATAATCTTATGGGACCACTATTGTACTGTTGTTGTGTATGTGGTCCCTTGTTCACTGAAATGTCACTATGTGGGGCATTACTGGTAAGTGAATTTCTTAAACCATGATCACATTGAATATACCAATACTATAACATTTAATCACTGTATTCTTTTAAAACTAATAGGAAACTAAAACATAAAATAAAGTTTTAATTGTACTATAAAATTACAGAGAAATAAAAGCAGAAACTGTTAGTATAATTTTTTTTACAATAGCAAATAAGGATATATTCACATATATACACTTACTTGTTTTTTTAGAGCTAGAAAATACTCTGAATGATAAATATGATCATTTGTAGGATCTTCTACCCAAATCCACCAAGGTTCTCCTACTGTCCCATGTACCTAGAAGAAAAATAGCATCCTGCTACTATGCATATCATAACTCAAATAAGGGATAGCATCCAATCTTCTCACTCTAGAAGCTTTATTGATATATCATTTATATTACAAAGTTTACTCATTTAAACATTTCAAGTATACAGTTAAATGATTTTAATATATTTCCAAAGTTGTACAACCATCACCATAATCTAATTTTAGAACATTTTCACCACCTCAAAAAGAAACCTTGTACCCATTAGTAGTCACTACCTTTTCCTTACAGATTTGCCTAATCTGTAAATTTCAATTAAATAAAATCATATAATATGCAGTCTTTTGTGACTGGAGTTTTTAATTTACCATGATGGTTTCACAGTTCATCTATGTTTTAGCATGCATCAATGCTTTCATTCCTTTTTATTGTCTAATAATATCCCATTGGATAGATATACTGTATTTTGCTTTATCCATTTCAATGTCTTTCTCTCTCTCTTACTCTCTCTGTCTCGCTCTTCCTTGCAGAACCCAGTCTTGTTCAGCAAGCATCTCTCCCTCATGTGACTCAAGAAAAAGTGACCACATCCCCTGGGATAATTTTGATTGGCATAAGTCAATCAGCTCATGGGATTCCCCTCCCAACTGCTGTGGTAAGGCAGAGGCACATGACAAATACTGGCCCAATTAGACTGAAGAAAAGGTCTATGGTCCATGTTCTGGGCTGGAGAAGTGGGGATGTGTTTCCCATGCTCTGTTTAATGCAAACAAAAAATCCTGAAAACATTTGAGAAGTACCCAAAAGTGTCAGCAGAGCAAATGGGTGAAAAGTTCCTGGTCTTTGAATGACATCTTTAAACAGAAGACTCAACCATCCTTAGGGCCTATTCTACCTGTGGACCTTTCATTATGAAAGATAATATACTTTCGTCCTTAACTCAGCTTGAGGCAAGTCAAGTTTTCCATTCTTGAAGCCAACAGCATTGTGCCTGACAGTGGTAACTATTAAAATCATTAAGTACTCTGTCTTACTAATGAATTAAATCAAACTGCAGATTTATTACAGATATTGGTAGGAGACAGTGTAAGAAATACAAAACTTCCACTTATTTCAAAAATAGTCTATTAAAATTTCAAATATGAGTTTATGGGTAACTGTAAATTTATATTTATGTGAAACTTTATATCTATAGAAATATTAAATATAATTTTGTATCATCTAGTCCCAATGAAAATTCTGTAAAAAACATTATTATTATTATAATAATAATGTTTATAGCTGAGGAAACTAAAGGAATTAAAGGTTTAGACACTTTTAAGACCAACGTAGAATTGGGTTAAAACCATGGTTGGGTAATTTTAGAGCATACTGTTAAAATTCATTGACATTAAAGATGTATAAACATCAGGTAATGCAGAAGATACTTATTTAATTAGAACTTTACAATAACGTGTGAAATAGGCACTGCTATACTATAAATAGTGACTTCCTTGTTTTCCCTGATTGGCTTCTTGAATGTAAGAACTGAGCCTCACTTGCCTTTGTACCTACAATCTCTAACATAGTAACTGGTACAAAAATAGATCTTTAAAAAATGTTGATTGAATAAAAAGAGAATCTGGTGTGTATCTTTATATACATAATAATATCTAAGCTATCAAAGGAGAAGAAGGAATTAAAACAGAAACAAAAACATGATGGGAATCAAGGATGGACATTTTGAAAAACTGTATAGTGTTAAATATTCAGAGAAGTAAAGAAAATAACTGAGAAAAATCTATTTATTATGGCAACCCATCAGTCTTTGGAGATCATGGAGAAAGTAGTCTCAGCAGCAAAGAAACAGGTGATTGGGGGAAAATATAGAATACTTTTCTACAAGTCTAATGTTTCAAAAAAGGAAAGAATATTAATTTAAGAGACATCAAGATGAAAAATGGCTCTTTTTACCATGAAAAATCTTGAATTTTTTGGAAGGCTAAAATGACAAAGTAGACATGGCAAAAATGAAGATAACATAGAGAAAATAAAAGAAGATAGAACTAATATAGCAAAATCTCTATGGAGTTAAATCCACTAAACTGTTGTTCATTGTTGAAATTTAGGTTTCCTAAATGTTTTGAAGGAATCTCACTCGTTGACATATTACTAATATACCATGGTTTTCTTGAGGATGAGAATAAATATTGCTATAATTTTTTACTATTATTATTATTATTTTTTTGAGACAGAGTCTCGCTCTGTCGCCCAGGCTGGAGTGCAGTGGCACAGTCTTGGCTCACTGCAAGCTCAGGCCTCCCGGGTTCATGCCATTCTCCTGCCTCAGCCTCCCGAGTAGCTGGGACTACAGGTGCCCACCACCATGCCCGGCTAATTGCTATAATTTTTAAAATAAATCCTCAATATATATTCTTTTTAGAGGATTTTCTATATGCCTTAGGAACAGATGTAGTTGAGTCTGTAGTACAGATATTTTTGTTTAACACAGATATAGCCGTTTTCCACTTCTACCTGATCATTCCAAGTGAAATCAGCATAGATGCTGAGTGTCACTCGGAGGACAGTCCTTGTGATAGGCTGAATGGATGCTTCCATCATAACAGAAGGAATCTGATGAACACATTGTTTGACCTTCAGTCCAATATTCACATGATGTAAAATGTGACCTGCAAGAAAAATATCACATAGAAGAAATGTGTCCAGGCAGAAAAAAGCAATATAATCTGACTTGTAAATGGGATTTCAGAGAAGGTGATTTTATTGCTTGTTTTATGATTTGCTATGTAGAATAGCTGACATTCTTGACCTGGCATGTTTGAATATTTTGTAATAGTTAACTTGAATTAGCAATTCACAGTTTTTAAAGTCAGTATCAAGGTTTCTTTAGCTATTAATAGGGTGCTTAAAATTACTGAGACTTGATAGTGTTTAAACTACTATAAACAGACTCACTTGAATATAAAGAGATTTTCGCTTGATTTTAGATAAATGAAAAAGATTTATAAATACGGTAAAATTTTTATTTTGATTAATGTGGAAATTCACAATACCTTCTTTTACACCCAGCAACATATTTTATTTGCACAAAACAATACATTCAAACATATTTGCTTCCTTCTTACCTATTTCATCTTTCCTCATGTCTTTCAGCTTATCCACAGTAAGCTTTTTTTCTTCTAATCTTGTTAGGATGTGTGGTGGTAGGATTGAAAATTGTCTCAAAGGGCTAGCCCAACCCCAAAGCCTCTTGTCAATGACTTTACTAAGATTCAGGAGCCTGTAGGTCATGGTAGGCCAACGTTTCCTCAGAGCAATTTCAAAAAGAGCACGGACAATTCTAGCTGCATTCTAAAAAATTATAGGAGGAGATTGGTGGTTATACCCAATGTGCTTTTAAATTTGTCAATAAATCTATTATTCAAACTCAGTCTGAAAAGAAGTGCAAGTCAAGCTGCATCCTTGAATTGTGGGGCAATATCTTTTCTCATATAATCCTAATTATCTTATTATTTCTACATAAGAATAATCCTATCCTTTATATGTGGATGCTACTTGCTTACTCTCAGAGGGGAAGCCTTATTTCCAAGTTCTTAGAAAGCTCTACCTTCTAAACAGGAATGAAGTAGGAAGAGACAAAAGGCATGCAAAATATTTAGGAGGCTGTTAAGGCATCTGACTATAAGAGACAAGGACGCCTCTTGGTGAATAGTGGAATGATTAAATTTACAAGGCTATTTAGAGGATTAAGGAAGACTGGGATCCTGATAGGGAAAAAAAATAATGAGAGAAGGGTGACAAATGAAATACTGATTAGTGTAGCTACTCATATGAAAGGGCCATACAAATGGCTTCCTATAAACCAAACAATGTGTTAACTTGCTTTACATATATTGCCTCATTTAACTTTTACAAAAATTGCATTTAATTGATATTAATATTATGATTTTATAGATGAATATACTAGGGCTTAAAGAGGTAAAAAATTTGACCAAGGTCACACTGCTAGTTGGTGTCAGAGCATCTACTCAAAGCCAGGACTAAAGGACTCCAAATATAACTGAGATTCTAGACTCAGTGGTCTGAGGATAACTTTATTAATAGACATATAGAAAGTTATAATGAATGTAGTCTTTTTCTTCACATTTCTACAGCTAGCTCCCATTTATTTTGCCTCCACTCCTCTATCATTAACTTTGCAGATTGTTTTATTAAAGATTGTTTTTTAAATGAACTTATACCTTCCAAAATCCAGTAACATCTGTATTTGAAAATAAAGAATGTTCAGTCTGGTTAAAATCCAAACAAGAGATACAAAACTGAAAAGATTTCAAATGGCAGACAAACAATCCAGCCTAAAATTATGAAGTCAAAAATGACAGATGAGTTAAAGGCTTTCATTTCACATTTTATATAAGATATGCGCTGTCTTTTGATAAATTTGACTATTTTGTTTCAGTATTAGAAATTAAAGTACAAAATGGTAGATAGAAGTATGAGGACAGTTCTGATATCCATTAAAAATGACTGAATGGGTCTTTATAAGGCCCAGAGAATAATAAATAAAATTTTGATTACTGTATCTACCAAATAGGTTTTCCTACCTCATTCCCACTTGTTCTTACAAAAAACTATCAGGCTAATTTTCCTGCCTTTGAAAGTATGTCATTTTAATATTTCAGGATCTACAGTTATCCCCTCAATGCTAAAAGAAGTAGGAGAAATTCCATATGACAAGATACAAACAGGACATGTTAATCTAGAATGATATAAATTGGTTCAAAATAATAAGTCTATAACATGTACAGTCTAGAAAAGTTAAGCATAGGCCTTTAAATAAAATCCTAGAATATTTGAGCTATAGGTTTACCTTAGGGGCTGAGGAGAGAAAGTTTAAAAAATATAGAAGAAAATATCATTTTACAGAGTTGAGAGAGTAGTTGTTCAATTACTGATAGCTTAAACTTAAAATGTAATAAAGTATAATTTATCTGATGCATTCAGGGATGCTAAATCCATAATGGCTGTTTAAGAAAAAACAGGGATGCTTTGAGATATCCTTAATCAGAAGTTGACTTCCTGGATACCAATCATGAAGAGAATTAAAGTTTTACATTGTAAGCAATTCTTATGTCAGTCTCTGATAATATCTTCATAATCTTGAAGCAAGCAGAAATGTTGCCAGATTATTCATCCAGAACCCAGTAAAACTTTACCTTTTATTTAAATGATTAACTATTTCAATATAAAATCATTAGAAAATATAAAATGACAATATTACATTACTTTACAGAAAAACAGATAAAACAAAGGAGATTAGAAAATTATTCCTATAGAAGCTATAGGGTTTAAAGAATATATAAATATTTTCACTACATCTATATTAACTTTATATAATTTATGAATTATATAACCTGGTATCTTGGTTACATTGATTAAATTACTACATGCATTCAAAATGTTTACCAATATGTCTTGGTTTGTGTTTGTAAATATTCCATGTTTAAAGGACTCCTGAGTACTCATGGCTATTAATAATGATATATTTAACACAAACATTCTTTTTCTATATTTAGTCTTTCTTTGAACAAAATTACAAATATAACAGCAGAATCATTTCCATATTTAAAATAAAATTAAGCTTTAATTTCTTCTTAATTTATAAAAGGAAGTACTCAATAAAATAAAATTAAAAAGCCTTGACAGGTAAATAATTTTTTTAAAAAAGTATGTCTAGAAGGGAAATCTTTCATTTGAAGGATAAATAGGGTAAAATATAACCTACTTTACTTCACATAAGGGCTTGAATATAAAAACACAAATATTTGAACAGTTTATACCATGGTATTTTTTAAAAGTTATAAATTAAATGAGCTGTAGTTTAGGGAATAATTTTCTTTCTGTCCTCAATGTTTAAGTTTCAACAGTAGAGAGGAGAGATTACTTTTGTAAAAACCAGAGACATCACACTGAACGTATGGTAGGAAATATGTTTACTACGCCTTGTTTAATGATTAAAAATATTATTATTTCTAATATTTGGTAAAAATCTAAAAAAGTTCCACAATCTTTTCTTTATGCTTGCAATATTCTTTAACTTTTCTCTTTATAAGTACTTTATATTCTTTTACTTTATAAGTAAAAGAAATGAAATTCATCATTTAAAGTAGAAAAAAATCAGGTATCATTTTAAAACTTTGTAAGAAACATCAACATCACCAAAAAAAGCCCTATCAGTCACCAAATCTCATCCCCAGTCCTGTTTTATGAGCATAGATTACATAAAATATTTACAAATTAGCAGAAACAGTTCTAAGTAAAATGGTGGTTTGGTAGCATGTCACAAAGCAATGCATTCATAGCACAGCATGAATTAACACCTTGGTCCTCTAAATATATTCAAGGAAGAGAAAACTGGAAGGGAATAAGATACTTACCTGTGCAACATATGCAGAATCTGATATAAGGGAGAAACTGTCCATTTCTCCTCGGCTGATATAAGTTTGAAGTAAGATGTTTATTTTCCCATAACTATTCTCTACACCTCCAGGAGTGGAGAGTTCACAAAAATTGCTTAATAAGGTATCTAACTCCTCTATTTCCTCTTCTCTGACCTAGAAGAATCAATGTATTTATTGGAATTTTGGGGCTGATTTATTTAAATTTTTCACATTGAAATTAAATACATTGCATGTTTTTAAAGAGTTTCCATTTACTATAATGCAGCATTTTTCTTTCATAGAGTTAAATAACAATGATTTTTCCATAGGTAGCTAAAAAACTGCAATATGAAATGATCTTGAGGCTGATACAATTACATTTTATTATTCATCACCAATATTAAATTTGCCATTGACATATAAAAATTTGATATGCCAAAAAATTAAATCTTCTGACCTCACCATCCTTGAATTGATGAGATTTCATATTTTATTTGACCAGAGTAAAACCTCTGCCCAACTGGATTAGGGCAACTTGAATTATCTTCAAATGCATTCATTATAGTCATATATTTTTATATGGTATAATACATTCATAGCTTAAAGCCATGAAGTACTATGATTCAAAGTATTAAAGTTTTCACTGTTAATAAGATTAAATATTAATACAGGTACAGAAATACTCATATCTAAGGTTTGAATCATACAGGTACTTTTACATTTTCTTCAATGAGCCTTATATTGCAATAAACCAAAATCTTCATACTACATTCTTCAACAGTTTCATTACTGCAAAACCAATTTAAATTATTTGATGTGGAGTACAGAGAAAAGAATGATGTCAGGTATGATGTAATATTATAATCTAGGACAGTGGGTCTTATTGTTAAATGAAGAACATTGCTGATATTCCAAATGTGATGTGCCATACAGCTTATATGGTATTAATGAGAACCTTTTATAAATGAATGAATGCATACATGTTGTATGCATTTGATTCAAATTTCAAGAAATCTTACCTTAATTTGATCAAATTCTTCAGCTTTGGAGACTATGGCAAAGATATCACCTTCTGTTTTGTGAGCATCAAAGAGTTCATTAAAGGTCTACCAAAGTAAGTGTTATATTTGATTAAAATAAAAATATTTTAAATATTTTAAATTAAAAATGTGACTATAAATTACACATTTTAAAAGAAATTTGAGCCCTAGACAGTGCAGTTATAATGTCTGTGTTACAGTATTTAAAGTCACTGCTTTATAAACATCAACAAATTTATCAAAGACCAAAGAAAATTCCTAGAACATAATTAGCTAAGGAAGATCTTTAGCAGCAAAAAGATGGATGGTGAATAAAAGTTAATAACATCTACACTAGATACCTTTAAAAAGTTAATAAAATTCTGGTTTGTGCTTATTTTCAGCATGGCCATGTGGAAATCTGCACAATTCACGAATTCTAAGCTGATCATGTATCATAAAATTCAGAGATGTATATCTAGAAAATATGTAGTCTGAAAATTCTCAAAATATTACTAGTGAGGACATACAGAAAATTAGAAAACTGAGTTGAAAAAAATCAGTCAAAGGCCACATAGATTGAAGACAAATGCTAAAGAATGCCTAAAGTTCCTGCAAAAGAACAGCAAACAGGTTTAGGATATAGAGTGGTAGCAACACACTAGCAAGTGAACAAATTTAAAAAGTTACTTTGACAAAATGAGTGGATGTGAATAGGTGATGGAAGGAGTGAAAAGCCAGAGACAACGTGTTGGATTGATTTCAACCGGATCATAGTTCTGAGATAATATATGTTTAAAGGTTTTGAAGAAACCTAAAGTGCTATACAAATAGAAGGTTTATTTGGGGAAAGACGGGGGAAAGTTAGTAAGCACATGAGGTGTTTTCTGAAAACCGTTACATGTAAAAGCAAATGTGCCTTGACTATTTAGGCTTGGGTGTGTTTATTGCTTGGGATACACTCATTGAATAGGATGACAAGAGGTTCCTTAGTATCTGAAGTTTTATTTTTTTCTTGTCTTTACTGAGGGTATACTGTTGAATTCATATAAGTTAAATGGATTTTGTTCTATTATTTGCTTTCATTATTTTACATTAATAATATATTTTGAAGTCTAGAAAGTATTTGCATCTAAAATCAAACATATTTGCATTAGTATAATACCTCAATGGTGTTGTATTTAATATAGTAATGGCTGGCAGTTCTACCCAAATCAGTTGAGGAAAAATATCCAGTTCGCTCCTCAAAACGAATCATCTGAGCTTTGTCTAGTTTTCGTCCAACTTCAATGACCAACTGTTCTCGATGCTTTCTTAATGTTGGGTCAATCTATGGCAAAAAATATATAAACAGTTGAATAGTGCTTTAGAGAGTAACCATTTGCAAACATATATTTATTTATGGAAATTAAAACTTTTCTTAATGTTTTAGTTAGACTTTTTAATTACAATTTTTAAAGTACATTTTTCTACATTTAGGAAATAATTGAAAATATTTTATGCCATTAAATAAAGGAAGCTTAAAAATTCATTAAAATTATCAATGTGCATATTCTTTTCAGATACCAATATTTTGGAATCTAAAATTCTTATATGATCTTATGATCTTTAAAATCACAAAGATTAAAAATCAAATTTTAAAAACTCAATAATTGTCTTCTTTCTCCCATACTAAAGTAAATAGGGATTTTAAATTGTCAAATCATATTCCTACTTTATTATCAGTTATTTGGAGAAATGATAGCAAGAATGCTTTCCCTGTCAAAATCAAGATATATTTAGAACTGCAAAGTTATCCGGCCGGGCACAGTGGCTCACACCTGTAATCCCAGCACTTTGGGAGGCCAAGGTGGGCGGCTCACGAGGTCAGAAGTTTCAGAGCAGCCTGACAAACAAGGAGAAACCCCATCTCTACTAAAAATACAAAAATTAGCTGGGTATGGTGGTGCGCGCCTGTAATCCCAGCTACTCAGGCGGCTGAGGCAGGAGAATCACTTGAACCCAGGAGACAGAGGTTGCAGTGAGCCAAGATCATGCCACTGCACTCCAACCTGGGCGACAGAGCGAGGCTGGAGTGCAGTGGCGTGATCTTGGCTCACTTTACTTACTTTTTACTTTTATTATTATTATATGCAGATGGGAGAACCCATTCTAAAGTAAATAAAGTTGACAGTGAATTTTTGTATAGTTTTAAAACTATTACTTATCTAATACTTTTTCTAAGCAGAAATAATAAAACATAAGATATTAACAAATATTCTTGTTACTATAGTATTGTGTATAAATATATGTATGTACACATGCCAATTATTAAGGAACACTCTGTAGTCATGAGGAGTAAAGTGAAATATGACCTTTAATGGAGTAGGGGGAGTATTAAAACAATTTAGAAATCAATTAATGAGTTAACACTACTACCATTTGTTCTAACTTAGATATTTATGGCAGCTTATTTATGTACAAAATATAGCTAAAATAAATTTTAAAAATCAGGAAAATGGAGCAAAAGAATATCAACTGCAGGGAAGTAAGATGGAGTCAAGAGTTACATCAGCAAATACAAAAAGTCTTAAATGTTTGCTATGAGTGATAATATATGTATCAGGTTCAACTTATAAAACTATTTTATTAATCACCTATTACTAAACCATCAAAAATATGCTAAACTGTTTTATCTGTGTTAGTTCATAAGAGTTTTGTGGCCACAAATTTGTATTGAGTAATAACATTAAAACACACAAATCAAAAAAAAAAAAAAGGGTCAAGATTTTCTGACGTATAAAGGTACTATGTATCCAAAAGGTCTTTATACTGGAAAATGAAAGGCAAATGACTTTTGATTATAACCTAGTACTTTAAAGTCAATTGATGTATTTATCTTGTTCCAAAATTTGAGATGGCTTAGTCCGTAAAAATAAATTGTTTAGTTTTTGTTTTTCTTTACTCCTTCAAAACATTTTCATAGTGCCACTGGGTCTTCTCAAAATGCCCATATTTGTGATGGGAATAACTAGTGCCATATTCTTTAAATGTGTAAGGTTACAGGTTATAATGCAGTTATATGTTATAACAGAGCAATTTGGCTGTAAATGTAAACATTCATTTAAAGATTAGCACAAATTTCAACTGAGACAAAGAAAGGTAGGTGAGTCCCATCTAGAGTAAATCTAAGTATAAAAACCTAATAACGGCTTTAGATTTAACAGCCTCAGAACTAATTGCTGCTGCTGCTTTTCTTATTTTTCCTCCCGCAAGCCTTAAGTTTCAATTTTCCCATGGTAAAATCTACTGCATAGGGAAAGAAAAAAATAAAAGAAATAAAAATTTAAAAATTGGTAACTGCTTTGATAACACAATAGGATTCATATAAAAACTAAGTCATAGTAAATTAGGGGAAACTATAATTTTGAATAAAGTTCAACTTATACAAATTTTGACTTAATACTAGTTAATATCCATATGATCATTGTAGAATAATGTTTTCATTAGACAACAACTGGATTTTATCTGCAATTAGGACACATTTACAATATATGAAGCAGAGTTATAAAGGAAAGACAAGATTTCACAGAATCTATAAGCCACACGGACCACACAATTGTGAAGTTCATAGGAAGAACTGCTATCAAATGCATCTAATTCTCAGTCTATGTATATGGACTTGAATAGTGGAACTGATTCCAGTCCTCAAACTGTTAAGATAGTAACTCCTTAATGGTATATTTAAATTTCAGAATAGGGATTAGAAGAGACTTGATAAGAGGAACAGATTGTATATAACCTAAGCTGATTATCAAATATGGTCTATAAGTTTCCTCATGTCTAATTTATTCTAAAACGAAATTTCTCACAGTTTAAAAAATCACACCAAAATATTAATATCAAATAGAAATATACCTGAATACATGGATAATAGTACAAAGATTAACATAAGTATTTGTAGAAAAAGATATTTAAATATAGCCTGCCTAATAACTACAGGGGCCTATCTAATTTTTTGAAAAATATTAAATCTCTTGTTTTTCTTCTAGGTACCTCTTTTCAGATGAGGCAAGAGCAGCAAACAAATATCTATCCTCATATCATGAAAGAACCAAAAAGAAGGTCTGAATTTTTTTTTTAATAAATGAGTTTTCTACCTGATAAGCCTTGTGACTGATGCCATATGCTAATGGATTTGCTCTCATCCGTACATAAAGATAAGTGTAACTTATCCACTTCACTGCTTCTTCCACATTAGTAACTGTTCCCAGAGCAATCTGCAAATCAAAAAGATGACAGAAATTAATGTATTAAAGTTGAACATAAACATTACATCAAAGTCCATTCTGTCAGAGGTGAAGTTTTAAAAATACATCATTATGCAGTATTTTTAAAAAGGTAGGCATAGTGACTGGACACAACACTTTGCCAATTAATTAAAATCAGTCCTGCCTCATTTAATTGAGAATGATACATGAGAAATGTTATCTTTCAGAACTGAACTTACTCAATATTATGGCAGACAATTATTTTTCTTTATAAGGAGTTTAATTCTACATAGCATTAAGGACATTTGTTATTTTTTTTTCTTATTCAGTATACAACTTATTTTAGTTTCATTTTATGTGACTACACTGCTGAAAAATGTAAGTGTTAAGTGCATCTGAATAAAAACAACAAAACATTGTTAATTCTATTCATTTTTATCCTAATTCTGTATACTGTCATCACCAAAACCACAGAGGGGATAACATTAGCTTTTACCTCCCAAGACACGAATTTGCAGGACTGCGAGTGTGAAGATGTAATATGAATACAATAAAAAATTCACTGTTTTGCACGAAACAAAGCAGATTTTGTTGTGATTTATACATATTAATAATACATACATTTTAACAAACTCATGTACAAGAACAGGGAGTGGTTTTTATTTATCAGTAAACTTAACCTATGGAAAAAATATTCATGCATTTGAACCATAATAAACAGTGGATAATTCTTCAGATTGTATCTTGAAAGAAAATATTTTTAAATATAGCATTTAATGTAGCTTTGTGATATATTAATTAAATGAAATCAAAGGTTAATAATTTAAAAACACAACAATAGCATATAAGAGCTGTATAACAAAGAGAAAAAATTATTAGAAGATGATATTAACAAAGAATTTCAATGAAAAGTTTCTTAGAAACATATTTCCTTAGCCAATGGTTCTATAGGTAGTAATTTTATTTTTACTTAAGGTACTTATTTTACTTTAAAAATTTACCCACGTTGTAAAACTTCATAGTTGTATTTTTTTTTCCTGAATCCTTAACTGAAATTGTTTTTAACCTCCTAAAACTTTAATTAAAGGAGAAGAGATGTTCCCTACCTAAATTATTAATTTTAGGAGAAAAAAAAGGAAAAACAAACCCTCTCGATTTAGTCCTAATATTAAAGAAAGTAAAACCTTCATGTTTAACTCCTTCATTATAATTTTAATTATAATTCTGTATAACTAATTTCATGAAATAAATATGTGGATGGTTAATTGTCTTTAGTTAGTTGAAGATGAGATTTAGTAATCTATAATTTTCATTATAATGTATAATTTTCATTATAGTATTATGATATACTATTTGTTACTAAAACAGAGAAATGACCAAAAGTTGAAATATAATATGGGAGATTCTGTCTACTAACTTTTAAATTTATATTACAAACGGCTAAGCCATCCATAATGTAGGTAAATATATATACTCAGTGTAAACTGTAAGCCTTTCCACCAAAATAAGAGTAGCAAGAACTAAAATTGAGCCAGTGTGGGAGCTGTGTAACAATTCATGAAGATTTACAACTAAAACAGTTAAACATTTTCTAGTCTACTTAGGTAAATGAAACTAGTTTGGTGATATAGCTAAAAATCTGAGAGTGTCTCTCCTTTGTGAATCCATTATTTGACAGACCAAATTGTATTAAACCATAGACATATGACCTATATTCCCATCATGACTTTATGATGTTACTTTAAAATAATGACCTACATTCCCTTATAACCTTAGAATATTATTTTAAAGTAACATCACACAACTCCTATGAGTAGAAAAATTTATAAGGGATAAAATAAGCTTGCTATTATTTTCAAAATCAGATAGTAAATTAACATTAAAAAATTACCTATTGCTACCAGTGATATGATTAAAGAAAGGAAAAAGTAGGTAGCAAAGATTCGATCAACTAAAGCAAGTGTTGTAAATGTTCACTAAAAAGGACAAGACTACTCAGAAAAATGAAGGTAAATTTATGATGCTATACCTTATTTTGAGAGTAATATTTGAATGCCACCTAGTGACAAAAAATAAAAATGTATTTGTAAATATTTGCTGTCACCTAGTGGCTACTTAGTACAGGAACCTTTTATAAAACAGGAATTTTTTCATAGTGTGTCTTTGAAATTTATTCCCTCATCTCAAAATCATATAGTAAGTCAGTAACAAGCCTGTGCTGAGTAAAGCACAATGGATATGGTAACAAATAGAGTATGCTCCCTGGCCTCAAGAAGTTCCAGAGTCACATGGAGGTGAGACATATGTAACTAACTACAATGACATATATAAACCCACCATCCATTGTGCCTAGCACATAATACCTATTCAAAATGCTTTTAAAGAAAAACATCTAACATGACATTTCTAAAAGTGGCATTAGTATATAGTGTGATAGTTTTATGCTCTGTTAAATAAAAGAGAAAAATAAAATCCCCCACGAATTTGGTAATTTAGAAATAAGACTCAATATCACTTCATATCTAACTTTAGTATTTAAGGTTATCTCAATTGTTTATTTGAATATGTATTTTTAAAAAATTGTTGAAATTATATAAAAACTTAAGCAAATACTCTAATCATCATGAGTATGCATGCGTGTGTATATATGTATATATAAGCTAGTAAATATATATAAAAACTATGCTACTATTCATTTATTTATTTAACTAAAATTTCAGTGCTGGCAATAAGTATGAATGGGGCTGAATATCAACAGACTATCAGAAAATGGTAAGTGACTCTATCATTTACTGTAAACTACCTTGGCACAGGCATTTCTTAAATTTCCACAACAATCCAGTGACAGTATCTCTATTTACAAGTGAATAGAATAACAACAGCTTGTCTAGGGCAGAAGATCTGTGTTGGAGAGTAATTGTAGCCAGAATTACAAGGTCGTTCAGATTGTAGAGGCCTTAAATCCAAGGACAAGGTGTTTACCTGACATTCTACAGAGATGAGATGAACTCCGTATAAAAAATGTATGTAGTATGTAAAGTGAAAGAAAGATTAATATAGTTTTGAAGAACAGACTATAGGGAGCTGGCACAGAGTATGTACTCAGTAATGTCTGATGAATAAATTTTAATAAGCCTCAGTATTTCTCTGTGTAAAGTTAAGTGACTTTATATATGGATGGGACTTGTGACC
The DNA here is from genome assembly GCF_000001405.40 of Homo sapiens. Taxonomy (NCBI): domain Eukaryota; kingdom Metazoa; phylum Chordata; class Mammalia; order Primates; family Hominidae; genus Homo; species Homo sapiens. The sequence continues at coordinate 100,659,002 of NC_000006.12, forward strand.
TTTCAGCATTAGGATTATTTAGTCAGTCTCATTATGCATCGATAAGCAAATGTGCCTCATAACATGTTTGCATTGAAATTATAACTTAATATAATAATTTCTCCAGTTCTCCTAAACTAATAGTCAGAATTGATACTCATGATATCAAAGATATTAATAGAGGCAACATTCTTAATCTAGCACGACTCTAATGTTGATTAGTGCAACTGTACAGTCTTGCAATGATTTGGGGAATTTAAAGACTTAAAAATTCATTACCTAAAGAACACAGCACATATTCATTTTATAAACCAATTTCACACTTGATTTCCACAGATAGCCAAATTTAATTTCACATTCAACAATAATTTAAGAGTTTGTTTCCTTAACAGGAAAATTTATTTTAATAGGGAACTATTCCAATAGATTAGAATATGAGCAAGTTAGTTCAACAATGGCTATACTTCACCATATGGGTGAAAAATGTCAGGATATATGTTTTATTATTTAAATACCATTTACATCACTAAATGGAATTATGCTTATAGCTAGCTGACATTCCTGAAAATCACACATTTAATAAGTACTTTATAAATATTTGATAAATTTATGGGCCCTAATTTATTTTTAATTTCTCAGGGCTTGATCAAATAGTTTTAGTGATGCTATTTTACAGTCCCTAAGAAAAAGAGTTACTTGAAGAAAAAAGCAGTATTTTACTGACTTTGTGTCTTCTGTATAATATTGCCAACTTGTGTTTATTTTACCAATTACAAAAAGCTATTAAGGACATAAGTTTACTGAGATATAGTTTTCCTTGACATGCATTCATGCGTTTTAAGATATCACTTCATATTTAACTTTAGCATTTAAGTCTGTTCTTCAAAACTACGTTAATCTTTCTTTCACCTTACATACTACATACATTTTTTATACAGAGTTCATCCCATCTCTGTAGAATGTTATGCAAACACCTTGTCCTTGGATTTAAGGCCTCTACATTTGAAATATAGTCTTCCTTGACATGCATTTCATGACGTGCATGAAAGAACCATGCCTTTTACTGTAAGTCAGAAAAATTATGGCTACCATTTTGGAAAATGTTTTTAATAGAGGCCTGAGAAGAGGGCAAATGCTATATATTAATATAGGGAAATGTATTCACCTTTAACTTACTACATTTTATATAAAAGAAATCTAAGCTATAATGAAAAGTCTAGGTTTAGAGTTAAATAGATCTGAGTTTGAATACTAGTTTCAAAAATTATAATGTAGTGACCTTGGGTCAGTTACATATCACTCTCTGGATAATATCTCCATAGCAGCAGTATTGAGAGAATAAGATAATGTACGTGAAGCACTGAGCAGAGTCTCTGGTATACAGCAGGTCCTCAGTTCACTGCCACTATCATTTTATATTAAGAGACTTTGTTCTGTACATTAGACACTGTTAACCCAACACGTAGTTATTTAAGCCACACAATTACAGTAGCCAGTAAGACTGAAATTGAGCTATCATAATATTTCCTTTGGATTCAAATTTTATTTCTCAGTTTTCAAAAATGTTCTTGTAATTTTGCTAATAGAAAATGAGGCCTTTCATGCTTTTCTCTCTAACCGTTATCTTCTAAAACTTATCCATTCTTTGAATGACTGTCCCAATTCTGGCAGTGAATACTCTCCAACACAGATCTTCTGCACTAGACAAGCTGTTACTCTAACTCACTTCACCTAAAAGTCCCAATTTTCTCATAAAATAAAGATACTCTCACTGGATCAAATTTTACCACATTCATGAACCAAGACTTTCCTGATAGCCTGGGAGAAACCTATTTTCTCCTTCTGCTGAATCCTTCTACAGAACTGTCTTTCCAACATTATTGCACTGTGTTTTCATGTCTTTTTCTCCCCTTTTGGAATATACACTTCTTAATAGAGAAAATGAAATAGTAAGTGTGTTTTTCATTCTCTAAAAAGACTTATCAATAATATGAATGGAATGTTAAATGAAATTTGTATAAGCTCTTTAAGAAGTACCTAATATAGGACTTTGTACAAAATAAGTAGTATTTGATTACAAATATTTCAAAGTATTCATTTACTTAATATTTATATCCTACCTACTTTCAAGTATTGTTTGAGTCAACTTTAAAGGTATGAAAGAATACTGAACTAGCAAAGTGTTGAATACCAAAGCAATAATTTAAAATGTCACAAAAACAGTCAAACCTGATTTTAATGTTCTATACATATACTCTAAATTTTAAGAATGTTTATTTTCTTTACCAGTTAAGATGTTACCTAGGCTTCCAGGGTCTGCTATGTAAATCTTAACACAAAAGTCACACACACACACACACACACACACACACACACACAAAACAAATGATCATAATCTAGCTCAATCACATTGTGTATAACAAAGTTAATCAACTGACCTAATAGAGCTAAAAGAGTTTTATAAATTTCATTAAACCTTTAGTAAAAATTTCATTTAAAACTTTGCAAAAGTGCCATACAAATATTAATTATTATTGCTATTTCTGTTTCCATATTTTCTATAGTCTTTGTTAGATTTCTGGTCTCTAGGAAAGCCTCATAGTTTAAAAGTATGGTCTTTTAACAATAGATTTTTATCAGTTATCATTCTATAATCCTCTGAATTAATCAACAATAATGCCATTCACCCTGTTTTGTCTTATAACTTATATGGCATAGGCTGTAATCCTAAACACTACAAAACAGCAACCAACTCAATCTTCATCTTTCTTGGTCATTCTTAAGGCTGATGATTCTATTCCAAACTTTTACTCATTAGATCTTACCTCTGCATTTAGGTTATCTGCAAGGCTTTCCAGAAACTGACTCTCAATTGGGTTTCGTTGAGTGAGCAAAGTGAGGTAATGGCTGAGTTTATCATGCGTTGTTATAATTATTCCTTCCCCAAATTTGTCAAATTGTGGTCGTCCAGCTCGACCAAATATCTGCATGACATCTAAAATTCCAAGGTCAACAAAGGAGCCTCTTTTTGCAGCATATATTTGTGTTCCCTAGATGAGGAAAAGTTAACAAAAATTTACATAAACACACACAAATATAATCCTGATGAACTGAATACTGAAATTAGGCAAATATGGCAAGATCTCAAAAGTGTACTTTAACTAATCCTTTCATCATCTGTGATAGAGTAAAATTTTCACAATATAAACTAGATTCTTATTGGAGAAAATAATTCTGACCTTTTATAAATAACATTCAAAGTCAAGGAAACAGCCAAATCACAATATTTTTCTATGTAAGTCAACCCAGAGCCTTGCTTTAAGACACACACAAAATCCATTTATCAAGGAAGGTAAGCTCTTACCTTAATAATAACAGCATGGGCGGGAAGATTGACACCCCAGGCTAACGTAGCTGTACACACTAGGACTTTGATATGCCCATTAGAAAACAAGTTTTCAACTAAATTTCTGTCCTGCCGAAGCATTCCTGCATGATGAATACTAAAACCATCTGGGAATAATTCTCGTACTTGCTTATTTCTCGACCTTTGTACCTAGATACCAAGAAAGCGTAAGAGTATTATTTAGCATTTAAAAGCAATTGTTTTTAGCATTTCTGTTGTATGAGTTCATCAAAGAAATCAGAAAATTATTTTTAAGCATCTTAAGGTATTACTAGGTCTTAGTATATAATGCTTTATATAAAATCATAAAAAATAATGTTACCTATCTTAAAAAATAGGTAATACCAAAATATATCACAAAATTCAAAAGGAAAGAGGTGAAAAGCAAGTGTCTCTTTCATCCAGATGTCCCTTTTTGCAATCAATCAGTATTACCTGTTTCTTAGCCTTCAAAATATACACTATTCAAAATAAAACTAAATCTCAGTGGCTTCTCAACTCCTTAAGAGTAAAGGCCAGAGTCATTACAATGCAAGACTATGGAAATCAATCTCATCCCCTTACCTCATCCACACTAGCCACAATGGCTGGCTTTTCTGAGTATATTTTCCAACAAGTCCATATCTGCTTCAGAGCCTTTACACTTTTACTTCAGACCCACTGCCTTTGAGGACTTCTCCCTTCTTATTGAGATCCCCATGATGCTTCCCCTATGATATTCCTCATTGCGATAAGTCAATAAACCCAGCTTTGTTCACCTACAGCTGTGTTCTTGGTGATCTTTGATAGCAAAGCATTGACCATCTGTTTTAGCTCCTCAACTATAGATGTGCATTGAGTATAGAGGAGTCCTTCCTTATCTGTAGTTTTGCTTTCTGTGGTTTCCATTACCTGAGGTCAACTGTGGTCCAAAAATATTAAGTAGAATATTCCAGAAATAAACAAATCATGTTTTAAGTTACATGCTCTTCTGAGTAGCATGATGAAATCTCACACTGTCCTATTCCATCCAGCCCAGAAAATGAATCGTCCCTTTGTCCAGCATATATAAGCTGTAGACATTTCTCACCCATTAGTCACTTAGTAGTAGGCTTGGTTATCAGATTGACTGTTTAAGTATCACAGTGTTTGCAAGTCACCCTTATTTTACTTAATAATGGCCCTGAAGCACAACATTAGTGATGCTGGCAACTTGAATTTGCCAGAGAGAAGCCATAAAGTGTTTCCTTTATGTGAAAAGGTGAAAGTTTTCAACTTAAGGGAATAAAAACGAAATTGTATGCTGAGGTTGCTAAAATCGATGGTAAGAGCAACAAATCTTCTAGTTGTGAAATTACAAAGAAGAAAACAGAAATTTGTGTTAGTTTTGCTGTTGCACCTCAAATTGCAAGTTACAGCTACAGTGTGATACATAGTTAAGATGAAAAAGGCTTTAAATTTGTGGGTGGAAGACACGAAAACAAAAACGCACTTAATTGACACCAATCAAGTTAGTTCACTAGTATCTGTGGTTTCATATCTTGGAAATATACCCCATGGATAAGGGGGGACTACTGTAATAATGTTACTTCTGGTTCTGTTCTTTGGCCTAATCTGAGCCCAGAGGTGAGATTTAGTATACTTATATGTCACCTGTGTAAGTGCTGTAGCAGAAGGTCTTAAAAGACTCACTGAAGATTCACTATACAATAGGCAGAATTTTTAAGAAAAATTAAAGACCTTAGATTAACATTTAAAGAAATGTTTATATAGTTAAAGCTTCTGTTTGGCCATCACATCATGTGTTTATTTGCTATTGGTCTCAAAATCTCATTATCAATTCATGAGCTTCTTTTTGAACAGTTTTTTCCCTACACTTTTTACTTAAGGGCTGGATAATGGCAGGGAGTAAGATTTCAGGGGACTGGGGTTCCATTCTAGACTTTGCCATACTGATTATCTCTCAGGTCACTTAAAATTTTAAACTTCTAAGTTAATAATATTTAACTAATAAAATTATCTAAGAAAATAGTATTCCATGAAATCTGCTTCAATTATAAAACCAAAAGTAATGCATTAACAAACCACACCATCTAGTGGCCAACCAAGTAAATAACAACTTACACATTTTGAGCCTCTTAAGGGTCCAAAACAAAATACATATATAAACATAACAAAAGAGGAGAGCTTCTTAAAGTTTCAAGGGGGGTGTATTCTTACTTTATTCTTATGCAGTGCAGTCAGCCTGTTAGAAATTATTTTATACATATACTTTAGGACTAATTACACTTGGATCTCATTGCCTCAGCTTTCATCTTTTCAGACAAGCAATATTGTTACTGTAATCTTAAAGCAGCTCTTATGAATATGGAAAAAAGTCCAATTGTGGTGTATTTGCTAAGAGCTCCTTCAGAGGCTAAAGGTAGGGAGAGGAGAAACATTTCACTTACTTCATTTCTTTTCTAATATTCAAGAGTGGATATTCAAAGCCAACAGAGGAAACTAAAACTATTGGTTGAAGGTGATATTCAAATCATATTGCTGGATTGCTGTTTGGTTTTAGGTTAAGTCTGCTTTCTGTGGGCTCCCTGCATTGAAATGTTCTGCTGTCCTTCTTACAAATAGATTCCTTAGTCAAACCCCATTTGAGGGAAGACATGGCTAGGACTGCTGTGGCACCAATGACACAGTAAGAAGTTAAACAAGGGAAGTATGTATCTGTGATAGAGATGTTTCTTATAAAGTAGCAGGTGGATCTTGGAGTACTGACATAGTACCTCCCACTTGATCACATGGGTTTCACATTCAACCAGCATCAGTGGCCAGTTTCACATTCAACCAGCGTCAGTGGCCACCAACTTGGTATATCTCTCTGGTCTCTGTGAGGAACTAGGAGGAGGTAGGAGTCACTTCTATTTCTATTCTTGCATACTCTGTGCATTTTTTTTATTGGTTCATTACAGACTTGAAGTGACAACAATCAAAGTAAGTCTGGGTTTTTTATTCTTAACTATCTTTGAATCTGAATTTTCCATCTGTGGTCTGCCTTAGCTCACAACAAAAATGAACTGGAATCTGGCCGGGCACAGTGGGTCATGCCTGTAATCCTAGCACTTTGGAAGGGTGAGGCAGGCAGATCACGAGGTCAGGAGATGAAGACCATCCTGGCTAACATGGTGAAACTCCGTCTCTACTAACAAAAACAAACAAACAAACAAAAAAAAAATAGCCGGGCATGGTGGCATGTGCCTGTAGTCCCAGTTACTCGGGAGGCTGAGGCAAGAGAATCACTTGAACCCAGGAGGTGGAGGCTGCAGTGAGCCGAGATCACATCACTGAACTCCAGCCTGGGCGACAGAGTGAGACTCTGTCTCAAAAAACAAAAAAAAAAGAAGAAAAAAAAATGAACTGGAATCCCTGGAGATGAGGCCCAGGGATGTTCCTCATGTGATTTTAAAAATCATCATAAAGCAAAACTATTTTTCCACTTTTAGTGTACACATCTAAGAATTTTAAGACATATTTGTGTTAGATTTGTGTAGCTACCATCATAATCAAGAGGAGTTTCTCCACCTTAAAAAAACCCCCTCATGCTATTTCTTTATAGTTAAACTCTTCGCAACTACTACCACTGTACTAATCTGTACTCCAACCCTATAGTTTTGTCTCTCCAAGACCACTATATAAATTGAGTCAGAAAGCTTATAAACTTTTGAAATTAGTTTCTGTCACCCAGATTAATGGCTTTGAGATTCATCTAAGTTGTTGCATATATCAATATCTCATTCCTTTTTATTGCTGAGTAGTATTCCACGGTACTACAGATGGGCACATTACAGTCTGTTAATCGGACCTCTCACTGAAGGACATGGGGGTTGTTTCCAGTTTTCACAATTATAAACAGAACATTTATAAACATTCATGTACACTTTTTTGTATATATTAATATGATTTCATTCCTCCAAAGTAAATACCAGGCATGAATCTTACGGGTCACATGGTTAATGTATGTTTACTTTTATAAAAATGCCAAAGCATTTCTGGAGAATTTTAACATTTTGCATTTGCATCAGCATTGTATAACAGTTCCAGTTGCTTCCCATACTTGCCAGCTTCCCATACATTATATAATTATTATTTTTTATTTTAGCAATTGTAACAGGTGTGTGGTAGTATCTTACCATGGTTTTAACATAAGTTTCCTTAACAGTTAATGATGTTAAACATCTTCCATGTTCTTGGATGTGCATATCTAATCAGCTCCTCAAGTGATTCTACTGCACACAAAAGTATAAGGAGCGAGTTTTTTACAGAAGGATATTTGCAATGATGTTTTTATCCACCTGTGTTATAATACAGCTGTACAATTTGACCTCATGAGACTATTTAGTGCTAAGCAACCTCGTATTTGTTATTGTACTAAATTATTTACATTCCTAAGAAGAGTACCTCCTAACAAATTTATGAAACATGATAGTCACTAACAGACAAAAAAAAAGCACTGTAAAGAATCAAAGAGAAGATCAATAAGAAACATGTATTTATCATATATTAGATCCTAGGAATTCAAAGAAATTTAAGACAAAATCTGAGCTTTGGATAATTTGCAGACTGGTAAGGAAGACAGACTCATATACAAGTGATTTCTATTAAATATAATGTGTTTATGATAGAGGTACAGGGACCAAGATGAAACTTTGTTATTTATGACATGATATTGTCATTTATGACAAAATTATGTCTTATTTACATTTGTATCGCTAACATTTGGCAGGGTGCCTTCTTCATACTGATACTACACATTCCCTGAATGAATGAATCAGTGATCTGATAGTTTGATCAAAGAAGTCTTTACAGAAAATGTGAAACGTGAGTCTTGAAGGACAAGGGATAAACTGCTAAATGGGGAAAGGTAGGCAGCAGGATATATAAGTACCTAAGCTGGGAATTATTAAAGAGCACACACAGTGTGTTTGGAGGGCATTCTGTTCAGAGGGTGTGGGGCAAAAATTAAGAAAATTAAGCTAGAAAAAAGGATTGGGGTCAGGCTTTACATTGTCTTGAACATAGGTGGAAAAGGAGCCAATTCAAGTTTTTAAGCAGTATCAGATTTGTTCTTTAGAGAGGTAACTTCACAGTTGTGCTAAGACCAGAGCAGGTATCGGCCACTACAGCAATCTGCAGAAGATGGAGGCAGGGGAAACAGAAATAACCAAACAAAGTCAAGGTTAAAGTTGGCTAGAAAGTAACCAAGACTGGATGACTGTCTAGAAAGGGGGATGAACATGACATAAAAGAAAAGGAGTTAGAATTGTTTCAAGCTAATCCTTATCTTGGTGCACTGAATATACGATAAGGTAAACAGAATGAGGAGAGTCAATGATTGCCTTTAACTTAGGTACTAAGAAGGTCAGGAGTAAATTATGTTTTGCGCATGAGTTTGAAGTGATCCATGGATAAAGACTTGGGCTTTTCTTCTAAATAAATGGAAAGCCACTGAAGATTTCTGAGAAGGAGAGAAATAAGGGAGACCAGTTAGGTAATCATTGGTAGAACCAATGATTTAAAGATTGTGAAATTGAGAAAAAAAATTAACACTCTTACCTTAAAAGAAAAAAATCAAACAAAAATAGACAGTGGCCATTACTGACTAGAGAAGGAGCTGGCAAAATATGTGCCAACTACCTGTTTTTGTACATAAAACTTATTGGAAAACAGCCATATCAATTTGTTACAGATTGTCTAAGGCTGCTTGAGCTACAACAGGAGGGCTGAATGAATAGTTGTGGGAGAGATCATATGTCTACAAGCTTAAAATGTTTACTACCTGGTCTTTAAGTAAAATAATCTGTATAGCTGTACACAAGTACAACAGCACAAGCACAAGACCCAATATCAGCAAAACGAAAATATCACAATTTGAAAGAATATGAAAGAAATATACTACAGTTTAAAAGAATCAGAAAAGAGCACTTTGTAAAATTCAGTGCATTTCACTTAAACTGTTTGGAATGGATGATTTTCTAGGAAAATATTGTTACTAATATTTAACCTAGAAGTGACAGAAAACTCTAAAATGATAAAAATAATGAAAGAAAATTTAAGAGTTAAATTTAACAGCTGGGCTTTCAAATTTTTAAAGATGAATTAATTCTAATGCTATTAAGAGACTCTAGAGGACAGAAACAGAACACTTAAACTGATTCTACAAGCGAATATAATGGCACTGATATTAAAACCTGACAAAGCAGAAAAGTGAATACAATAACAATATCTCTCTTACAAATATTACTCTAAATAGTAAAGAACTTTAGAAAACAGAATTCATCAATGCATTAAAACAAAATGCCACAACTAAGTACTCTTCAACCCCAGAATGCAAGGGCATTGTACTTAATATGTTAACATATTTAATAATTCAAAAAAGAAAGAACATTATGATCATGTGCAGACATTGAATTTTGACAAAAGGCTACATTCAGTCCTGATGATTAGAGATGACAATATACATCTGAAACTATGCTTAATAGTAAACATACAGAGTATACTAATTAAAATTAGGGAGTAGGCAAGGTTGTTTGGTATCAGTCTATTGATGTTCTAGACAATACTAGACATGAGAAAAAACGAATATAAATACTGAAAAGGTATAATTATAAATTAATTATTTGTTGTAGATAAAGTGTTTATTTAGAAAACTGAGTACTGACTAAAATATACTAAATAAAATAAAAGAATTTGGAAAGATGATAGTCTCAAAAATTTAATATTTTTATAAAAGTATTTCTTTTATGAAAACATTTTTCTTTTCCTTAATATTATGTAAAATATTTTTTATATTACATATTTTCTAAAAATGTAAAGAAATATATTTTTCTTTTCTTTCATTTTAATATAAAGTATTAATCTTTACTATAAAAATATATTTTATAAAAGTTTTATAAAAAGACATATATACACTATATATATATACACAGACAATAACTCATAAAATAAGTGGAAAAAATCACTTTTATAACAGCAAAAACAGAAATAATAAGAGATAGCCAGGATCCATATAAAGTTTTATAATATTGCTGAAGAACATTCAAGAAATAATAGATTTAATTTTGAGACAGGAAAACTTGATTTGGCAAAAATACCATTTCTCATTAACTTAATGTGTAAAATCAATGCACTAACTTAACTAAAATATGAACATGATTTCCTGGAGGGAATACTAAAATTCATCCTGAAAAGTAAGACTGAAAATTTATCCAGGAGAAATTCTACAACTGAAGAATAATCAGGATGTTTAATCCAATCAGTTATTGAGAATTCTATGAAAACAAAATAAGTAAAACAGTTTGATAAAAAAGAAGAAACAATAAGATCAATGACACAGAAGAGAAATTTCAGAAATGACTCAAGTAAATAAGAGAATATTGTATATTAAATTTTTTAATCAACAGAAAAAACAGTATTTAGAAAAAGATGATGTGCCCACCACTATCTGAAATAAGTTTCAGAAACATCAAGTATTTAATAATAAAAATAAAATATAAGGCTTGAAGAAATCACAGATGAAGTAGGTGTATGGCTTTTATATGCAACACATAAAACCCAGAAACCATAAATAAATTTACGGAATTTCTACATGGTAAAAAAAATCATAAACAAAAATAAACATCAAGGATTAAACAGAAAAAGTTTATGTAACCTATATGTACTAAACATGCAGTTTAGTACACAACGGGCCAAGATTATGAACAATTTAAAGAATAGGAAATACAAATAGCCAATGTAAAAAATGCTCAGTTTCACTCATAATTAAAGAAATGCCAATCAAAATAATAATGAAGTACCATTTTTTGCCTGTTAATCTGTTATAAACTTAAAAACGTTAACACTACCCAGTGCTGGCAAAGTTATGTGGGGGTAAAGCACAGTCTTCCCATGGTATCCATGGGGGATTGATTCAACAAACACCTTCTCTTCCCCTGTAGACACCACAAACCATGGATGCTTAAGTCCCTTATATAAAATGGTGTGATATTTGCATATAATTTACACTGTCTGCCTGTATACTTTAAATCATCTCTAGATTACTTATAATACCTAATACAATGTAAGTGTTATATAAGTAGTTATACTGTATTGTTTAGGGAATAATGACAAGGAAAATTCATCTGTGCATGTTCAGAACAGATACAACCATCTTCCCCCCCCCCAAATTCTTTTAATCTGCAGAAAAGTCATCTGTGCATGTTCAGAACAGATACAACCAACTTTTTTTCCCCCCCAAATTCTTTTAATCCGCAGTTGGCTGAATTCATGGAACCCATGGACATGGAGGGCCATCTGTAACAACTGCTGGAGGAAGTATAAATTGGAACAATATCTCCAGTAGGCAGTTTAGGGCCACTCATCAAAATTTTAAATGCATGTAGTACATGACAGATAAATTTCACTGCTACGAATTTTTCTAATGTATATCATTGCAAGAGTAGGAGCGAAAATGTGTACTGCAGCATTGTTAACAATAAAAGGTAACTGGAAACAACAAAAGTATCCATCAATATAGGATTCCATATATGAATTACTGTAATATCCACATTGTGACATATTATACAGTTGCAAAAAGAATGAAACCCATCTTTCTGAGTTGATTTGGAAAGACCTCCTTGTTATATTACTAAATGAAAAAGAAAAAGACAAAAAGGTGTATATAACATGATGCAACTTTTTTGTATTAAAACATATACCCATGCACACAGGCAAACACACAATGGTTGTTGTACAAATCTTTCCTCAAAAGAAATGTAAGAAGCTTTTTAAAAGAAGTTTTATTTGGAGAAATGAAGGACAAAGAGATGGTTAAGACCATAAATTATGGAGCTAAACTTGTTTACTATAAGATGCCTGCTGCTTTCTAAAGCATCAGAAAAATCACTGCTTTTTCTACTCGGTTCTCCAAAGCTAGCACTACACGGAGCCCAGGTTTTGCTACTGTCTGAATAACTACAGAGATATACTTTATCTTGTTCACATTTTGTGAACAGACGATTTGGATTCTCCACAGAAGCCATTTGAGATCCAATACTATACTCACTGGATAAAGTGTTCTACACATGGAAATCCAGCACAAAAGAATACCAGCTGTGAAAAGGTAAAGGAAGTAAGGTATGTAGTTTCAGAACTGTCTAAGTTTGGTTTCCTCTGACTTAATCTTTCCAGTTTTCACAAGTGAACTTTCCACACAGGGCTTTATAGTCAGTAAAACTCAAACGGAATGGGCAACTGCTAAGATAATCCATCAGCACAATTAAGGCATTATATTCCTTTCCCCCAGTGAAAGCATGCAGAACTTCTTTCCACGACTTTACATAACGTTTTCCTACTCATGAGAGAAAAAACACAATGTCAATGCTTTTAAAAATAAGGTAAAAATGTGACTATTTCCCAACATTTACTTCTAAACTAACACAAATACATGATTAAATAACATGATTTTTAAAAAACTGGTAGCAAGCAACTGAGGGTATTACATCTGGTCCTTGCCTAGATTAGACTCATGCCACATAGTTGCCATCTGCCACTCCCTGTCACTATTTACATTTTAGTCATCTTGATTTGTTTTTCTTATTTGCTTCAATGTGCATGTTTTTATGTCAGCCTTTTCTTTGAATTCTTGTCTGTTCTCTTTTGCTTTGTCAACTCCTAGCCTTCAGATCAGCTTAAATGTCACTTTGTTGGTCAACACCATCCTCTAACACCATGGGTCTAGATCAGATTCTCTAACTCAATTTTTTCTTAGCACTTTATCCCTCTTTATTATTTATTTCAAATGTAATTAAAATCAATTATTTAATTAGTTGTTTAATCTTTCTGTCCTTCCAGAATATAAGCTCCATAAGCGTAAAGGGATGACTACTTTTTCCTCCCTAAAAATATTTCCACTTCTAATTAAAGCAAATAATATTAGTCTACATATAATATCTGGTCTTACCTCCTTCTAGGAGTCTTACTGTATTGCCTGGACTGGAATATAATTTCCCAGATCTCATATAGTAAGGTTACTAGATGATAAAGTCCATTCTGCTAATTAAAAGCATTCAGGCAAGATCTGGATGATGGAAATGAAGAGATAACTATCTCTTATTGTGTTTTTCTAGCAAGCAAGATTTTGGAGACAGAAGGGTTGAAAGTTTTAACAGATGTACTATACATTCAAAATTTGGTTTTCTAGTGTGTTCACAAATGTTGGAAGGCATCTGTAGTAATAGCTGTGGCTTTTAAACTGCTAATCACCATCATGTAACTGGTTGTTAAATTCAAGATCTGTAGTAGTAGCTCTGGACTTCTACTCCTCTGATTTTACCAAATTTCTAATAAGTACCTAATTTCTTATATAAATTCTTTTTTATTTAAAATGTACCTAGAATGGTTTCTGTTCCTTTTACTAAATCATAACTGATACATGTGTCTACTTCAATTCACTATAAACAGGTTGACAGCACTTTATTTATATTGATACCCAATGATCTATTAAAATGACTGGTAACCAGCTTACACCGAGTAAATATTTGCTGAGTGATCACGACAAAAAACAGTTTAAGGCTCATGTGTATATAAACAAGTCACAATCACCCAGACTAGCCTAATCCCAATAACTAATTTCCATATGTTATTCTGATTGTGTTAATTATGCACTTTAACTTGGGAGAAAGAAAGTGCTATTTGCTCTGTTTCATGTCATATTCCTTGAAAGATGATCCTAGTTCCCATATGGGCTGTCCTGACTATTAATAGAAATAAGTTGGCATTCCAGAGAGAGGACCCTAATTAGAAAAAGATAAATCTCATCTAAAATTGCATTATTTTAATTCAATTGGCCATCTGTAAATAAATAGAAAAATTAAAAAAATTAAATCACAACATGAAATATGTTTTTGATTTTAAATTTTATCATTACAAATCTCTCTACCCCTAGGAATTTATAACATTATTTATTAATCTGATGTCTTTAGAGTGCTTCCTCTACTCAAGTATTTTCAAGTGAGTGAAAAACAACATTCTAATTAACATATTTTTGTCAAAACAGCATGATTCCTTAACAAGATGTATTAATTTATTGTAAGAAATTTATTCTATGCTTCTAAAATGCATCTTAAAGCACAGAAAAAAAAATAGCTACAATCAAAATTTCCTTAAAAGGAATAACAAAAGAAACAAGGATAAAATTTCAATGCTATTTACTATGTTCTTTAAAAAGAGTCTCACTTATTCAAAGTGAACCACATGTTAGACTACACTGAAATGAACACATGGGCCACAACAATGTCCCTTGATTGGAAGAAAGTGAATCCTACTTTTCAGTACGTGAATTTTGGTCACACAACTTGACTCTTCAACAATCTTCAATAGCTTCTCACTGCATATAAAGTCTAAAAGCCTAGGCATGGAATTTAAAGTCTTCCATTGTCTGACCATGCCTAGCCCTCCATGCACCTTACATTCCTGTGAATAGAGAACATTCTTATTCTCCAAATAAACCCAGAGTTTTCCTTTGCCTGTGTTCTCTTTTTTCTCTCTTTGGAACGTCCTTTCCCTGTTGCTGCCTATTGAAATTTAAAATTACTGGCTTGAATTAATCTGCTTCTCTTTTACATTTCCTCTGAACTGTTTAATCTTGGTGTATATTAACTTTTTCTTTTAATCTTTCCTTTGAAAAATTCCCAGGTTTAGAATTTCAAAGTTAAAAGGTCTGGAATAAGACCCTTGGCTTGGCTTTTAAATCTATTATCAAAAATTTTTTTAAAGTATTGAATTGATCAATACTACAGAAAATCTTCTCAAATCATCTTCAGAATTGGGTACTATTATGTTTAGATTTTGATAATATATTGATGAATATATATTACATAATTTTTTAAGAAATTTTTTTTCATCCAAAGTTTGTTTACCCACTTTATTTCTTCTTCTTGCTTATTTTCTTCCTGGAAACTTCATGTTTTAAGTTATTAAATTTAATAAGTATACATATAAAGATGTAGATATTAACTGGTCTGTTGTTGCTGTTCCTAATATTTCTTCCACCAACCTGCTTACTGCTTTTTACAATTCAATATTATTTTTTATTGTTCCAAAGCATTAAGTTTAATTTTTGTCTCATCTATTATTGTTTTAAACTGTTATCTTCTTTCTCTTCAAAACTCATGGGTAAACATTTACAGAATATCTACCATGTGTTAGGCAAGGTATATGTTAGCTTATTTATTACAGAATTTTTTTTTTTTTTTTTTTGAGACAGAGTCTCCCTCTGTCACCCAGGCTGGAGTGCAGTGGCGCGATCTTGGCTCACTGCAACCTCCGCCTCCCAAGTTCAAGCGATTCTCCTGCCTCAGCCTTCCCAAGTAGTTGGGACTACAGGCGTATGCCACCATGCATGGCTTTTTTTGTATTTTTAGTAGAGACGGGGTTTCACCATGTTGCCAGGCTGATCTCAAACTCCTGACCTCAGGTGACCTGCCTGCCTCGGCCTCCCAAAGTGCTGGGATTACAGGTATGAGCCACTGCAACTGGCCACAAAAATCTTAAAATATAGGCATCATTGCCACTTTGTATGTGATGAAATGTGGCTTGAGGATGTTAAAAAGGCAGAGTGTGTGAATCAACATTAAAACACAGGTTTGCTTAGATCCAAAGTTTTTATTCTATATGAGGTTACCTCCCTTTGAAAACAGAAAAGTCATGCTCCCAAAAATGCAATTAAGCAAACAGTTGTTTTTTTTTTTTTTACAATTTTGTTTGATTTTATTTAAAAAATACTAATACACTTTTGACATCCTATGTGGTGGTAACTGACAGTAAAATTACTATATTAGCCTCCAAGAGGAAAATAGGTTAAGATATGGCAGGGAAAGAATAAACTCTGTGAAGATGATATTTTGCATATATTTAAAGCAAAAAACAAAAGTAAGAGAAAGAGGGCTATTAACCATCCCTGCTACTACTAAGTCTGTTATGCTATCTTTAGTTAACAGATACCATCTCGGAAGAGACGATTCTAATCTGGGCCATACTGACACCGAAGCTGCTCATGCAAAATTAAAGCAAGCTGTAATAGTAAGCATCAGATAACTAAATCAAATTGGCATTAATTCCAGTTGCCATTGATTTAGGCAAAGACTAAAGCTGAACTTATAAAAACAAGGAAATGATTGACAGATCTACATAATAAAAAGTCAGAAAATTATACTTTAAAGCAGCTTGAGGATACGTATTACTATTGGATTCTTCCTCTTTTTATAACTTGTTCAATAGATATTTTCAATAACTACAGACACAAGGCTTATTACGTGGTAGAAATTCTATCTAAAAGACAAACTCTTAACATCACTGATATATGTAAAAATACTGAACTCACATCAGGGCCATAAATCAGAAACATACGGTAAAGGGATGGGTGGGAATACTCAATCCCTATGAGAACAGTTAAAGCCTGTTAAAAATTTGTCCCTAACAGAAAAATTTGATTTGATTGAGATCTCAAGTAAAACAGAATCTGAAAATTCTAACTGAAGGATTCATTTAACTTAAAATTAAAATCACAGTGAAAAACAATGGCTTAATAACGAAAATATATGCATCTTTAATTATATACTTAATTTTATAAATATAAACTGCTGCTATTCCTTGAGGTATGTTCTATTTTATAGAAAACAGTGGTTTCTTAAGACACAATCTTTGAGGGGGAGAGTATACAAGTATTAAATATGTAGGGTAAATTAAGAAAATTTTATCCATATTGTTTATTATCCTTTTGCCATTTTAAAATTTAGTTACTAGTATATATATTTTCTAAAAATAGATTTCTATGACAGGTGAAGTTTTATCATTGTTCAGTTTCCAAAATAATTTCATACATCATTCTATCTGTTTCTCATAGTAAATAACTAGAATAGGTATTATTTACTCCATTATTATTCCATTTGAGAGAAGAGAAAGTACGTTTCAGAAATGTTTAGATGTCCAAGGCCACAAACCTTCTAGAGGTAAAATCACAACCAGACCTTTTTGTGAATGTGTCCTGTTGGTTTGGGCATCATTTGTACATCCTGAGATATTCCTGTGCCCAGGGAGAGCCCCAAGCTCCATTTCTGAAGGTTAAACTACTCCTGGGAGACTTTCCTTTCCTTTCCCTACATTCTTGTTTCAGTGGACAAATCTGGAAATATAGGTAGTTTTTCCCTTGGGGGTGACTTTGATATTAAAGATCAATATTATATGAGAAGTCCTGAGGTGTAACTGTTACTACCAGAGAGAAAAGACTCATTTCAGTTGCAGCTAAGGCATAGAAATAGCCTTATTACAAGCAAATGTATGTGTGCGCGCGCGTGCGCGCACACACACACTCACACACACACACACACACACAAAAGGAGGATTTTCTTAATGGAGTTTTGTTATTTACACAAATAAAAATACATTGTGTTAAATGAAA